>NC_000014.9:18223523-18523523 GCF_000001405.40 Homo sapiens
GAATTCTTGTGTGTAGCTTTTATGGGAAGATATCTCCTTTTTCATCATAGGCCTCAAAGCGCTCCAAGTTTCAACTTACAGATCCTACAAAAAGAGTGTTTCAAAACTGCTCAATGAAAAGGAATGTTCAACTCTGTGAGTTGAATGCAAGCATCACATAGAAGTTTCTGAGAATGCTTCTGTCTAGTTTTTATGTGAAGATCAACCCGTTTCCAGCGAAAACGTCAAAGCAGTCAAAATATTCACTTGCAAATTCTACAAAAGAGTGTTTCCAATCTGCTTCATCAAAAGAATGTTTCAACTCTGTGAGTTGAATGCACACATCACAAAGAAGTTTCTGAGAATGCTTCTGTCTAGTTTTATGAGACGATTTTCCCGTTTCCAATGAAATCCTCATTGCTGTGTTAATATCCACTTGTAAATTCCACAAGAAGAGTGTTTCAAAACTGCTGTATCAAAGGAAAGGTTTAACTCTGTCACTTCAGTACACACATCACGAAGTAATTTGTAAGAATTCTTCTGTCTACTTTTTATGTGAAGATATTTACTTTTCAACCATAGGTCTCAAATCGCTCCAAATGTGCACTTGCAGATTCTACATAAAGAGTTTTTCAAAACTGCTGTATCAAAGGAAAGGTTTAACTCTGTGAGTTGAGTACACACATCACAAAGTAGTTTCTGAGAATGCTTCTGTCTACTTTTTATGTGAAGATATTTCCTTTTTCACCATAGGTCTCAAATCACTCCAAATATCCACTTGCAGATTCCTCAAAAAGAGTGTTTCAAAACTGCTCTATGAATAGGAATTTTCAACTCTGTAAGATGAATGCAACATCACAAATAAGTTTCTGAGAATGCTTCTCTCTAGTTTTTAGGTGAAGGTATTCCCGTTTCCAACGAAATCCTCAAAGCTATCCAAATATCCACTTGCACTCTCTCCAAAGGAGTGTTTCAAAACTGCTGTATCAAAAGAAAAGTTCAAGTCTGTGAGTTGAGTACACACATCACAAAGAAGTATCTGAGAATTCTTCTGTCTAGTTTTTATAGGAAGATGTTTCCTTTTTCAGCGTATGCATCAAAGAGCTCCAAGTTTCCACTTACAGAGTCTTCAGAAAGAATGTTTCAAAACTGCTCTATGAAAAGGAATGTTCACCTCTGTGAGTAGAATGCAAGCATCACAAAAAAGTTTCTGGGAATGCTTCTGTCTAGTTTTTATGTGAAGACATTCCCGTTTCCAACGAAAGCTTAAAAGCTATCCAAATATCCACTTGCAGATTCTACAAAAAGAGTGTTTCAAAACTGCAGTATCAACAGAAAGGTTCAACTCTGTGAGCTGAGTACACACATCACAGAGAAGTTTCTGGGAATGCTTCTGTCTAGTTTTTATGTGAAGATATTTCCTTTTTCAGCATAGGCCTCAATGGGTTCCAAATGTCCTTTTCCAGATACTACAAAAAGAGTGTTTCAAAACTGCTCTATGAAAGGGAATGTTCAACTCTGTGAGTTGAATGCAAACATCATGAAGAAGTTTCTGAGAATACTTCTGACTAGTTTTTATGTGAAGATATTCCCATTTCCAATGAAAGCCTCAAAGCTGTCCAAATATTCCCTTGCAGATCCTACAAAGAGAGTGTTTCAAAACTATTCTAAAAAAAGAAATGTTCAACTCTGTGAGTTGAGTACACATATCACAAAGAAGTTTCTTAGCATGTTTCTGTCCTGTTTTTATTTGTAGATCTTCCGGTTTCCCGTGAAGGCCTCAAAGCTGTCCAAATATCCACTTGCAAATTCTACATAAAGAGGGTTTCCAATCTGCTCTATCAAAAGAAATGTTCAACACTGTGAGTTGAATGCACTCATCACAAAGTAGTTTCTGAGAATGCTTCGGTCTAGTATTTATGTGAAGATGTTTCCTTTTTCTCCATAGGCCTCAAAGTGCTCCAAAAGTCCCCTTGCAGATACTACAAAAATAGTGTTTCAAAACTGCTCTATGAAAGGGAATGTTCAACTCTGTGAGTTGAATGCACACATCACAAAGAAGTTTCTGAGAATGCTTCTGTTTAGTTTTCTTGTGATGATATTTTATTTTTCACCATAGGCTTCAAAGCACTCCAAAGTCCTCTTGCAGATACTACAAAAGGAGTGTTTCAAAACTGCCCTATGAAAAATAACGTTCAACTCTGTGAGTTGCATGCAAACATCACAAAGAAGTTTCTGATAATTCTCCTGTCTACTTTTTATGTGAAGATATTCGCGTTTCCCACGAAAGCCTCAAAGTTATCCAAATATCCACTTGCAGATTCTACAAAAAGAGTGTTTCAAAACTCTCTATCAAAAGAAAGTTTCAACTCTGTGAGTTGAGTACACACATCACAAAGAAGTTTCTGAGAATTCTTCTGTCTATTTTTTATGGGAAGATACACCCGTTTCCAATGAAAGCGTCAAAGCTGTCCAAATATCCACTTGCAAATTCTACAAAAAGAGTGTTTCAAATCCACTCTATCGAAAGTAAGTTTCAACTCTGTGAGATGAATGCACACATCACAAAGATGTTTCTGAGAATGCTTCTGTCCAGTTTTTATGTGAAGATACCCCCGTTTCCCATGAAAGCGTCAAAGCTGTCCAAATATCCATTTGCAAATTCTACAAAAAGAGTGTTTCCAATCTGCTCTATTTAAAGAAAGTTTCAACACTGTGAGTTGAATGAACATATCCCAAAGAAGTTTCTAAGAATGTTTCTATCTAGTTTTTATGTGAAGATATTCCTGTTACCAACCAAAGCTTCAAAGCTGTCCAAATATCCACTTGTAAATGCTTCAAAAATAGTGATTCAAAACTATTCTAGCAAAGGAAAGATTCATCTCTGTGAGTTGAGTACACGCATCACAAAGAAGTTTCTGAAAATGCTTTTGTCTAGTTTTTATGTGAAGATATTTCCTTTTTCACCATAGGCCACCAAGCACTCCATATCTCCACTTGCAGATTCTACAAAAAGAGTGTTTCAAAACTGCTCTATGAAAAGGAATGTTCATCTCTGTGAGATGATTGAAAGCATCACAAAGAATTTTCTGAGAATGCTTCTGTCTGGTTTTTATGTGAAGATATTCCCGTGTCCAAGGAAAGCCTTAAAGGTGTCCTTATATCCACTTGTAAATTCTACAAGAAGAGTGTTTCCAAGCTGCTCTATCAAAAGAAAGGTTTAACTCTGTGAGTTGAGTACACACATTATAAAGAAGTTTCTGAGAATGCTTCTGTCTAGTTTCTATATGAAGATATTCCCGTTTCGAATGAAGGCCTCAAAGTGCTCCAAATGACAACTTACAGATTCTGAAAAAGAGTGTTTCAAAATTGCTGTATGAAAAGGAATGTTCAACTCTGTGAGTTGTGTGCACACATCACAAATAAGTTTCTGAGAATGCTTCTGACTAGTTTTTATGTGAAAATATTCTCGTTTCCAACGAAAGCCTCAAAGCTGTCCAAATATTCCCTTGCAGATCCTATAAAGAGAGGGTTTCAAAACTGCTCTATGAAAAACAAATGTTCAACTCTGTGAGTTGAGGACACGCATCACAAAGATGTTTCCCAGAATGTTTCTGTCTTGTTTTTATGTGAAGGTATACCTGTTTCCTGTGAAGGCCTCTAAGCTGTCCAAATATCCATTTGCAAATTCTACAAAAAGAGTGTTTCCAATCTGCTCTATGAAAAGAAAGTTTCCACTGTGTGAGTTGAATGCACACATCTCAAAGAAGTTTCTGAGAATGCTTCTGTCTAGTTTTTATGTGAACATATTCCCGTTTCCAACGAAGGCCACAAAGCGCTCCAAATGTCCACATGCAGATTCCACAAAAGAGTTTTTCAAAACTGCTGTATCAAAAGAAAGATTCAACACGGTGAGTTGTGTACACACATCACAAATAAGTTTCTGACAATGCTTCTGTCTAGTTTTTCTGTTAAGATATTTCCTTTTTCATCACAGGCCACAAAGCACACCAAATATCCACTTGCAGATCCTGCAAAGAGAGTGTTTCAAAACTCTGCTAACAAAAGAAGGGTTCAACTCTGTGAGTTGAGTGAACACATCACAAATATGTTTCTGAGAATGATTCTGTCTAGTTTTTATATGAAGATGCTCCCGTTTCCAATGAAATCTTCAAAGCTATCCAAATATCCACTTGCAGATTCTACAAAAAGAGTGTTTCAAAATTGCTCTATGAATAGAAATGTTCAACACTGTACATTGAACGCAGACATCACAAGGAAGTTTCTGAGAATGCTTCTGTCTAGTTTTTATATGAAGATATTCCCGTTTCCAACGAAAGCCTCAAAGGTGTCCTAATATCCACTTTTAAATTTTACAAGAAGAGTGTTTCAAAAGTGCTCTTTCAAAAGAAAGTTTTACCTCTGTGAGTTGAGTACACACATCACTAAGAAGTTTCTGAGAATGCTTCTGTCGACTTTTTATGTGAAGGTATTACCTTTTTCACCATAGGCCTCAAAGCGCTCAATATATCCAATTCCAGATACTACAATAAGAGTGTTTCAAAACTGCTCTATGAAAGGGAATGTTCACCTCTGTGGGTTGAATGCAAACATCACCAAGAAGTTTCTGAGAATGTTTCTGTCTAGTTTTTATGTGAAGATATTCCCGTTTCCAACGAAGGCCACAAAGCACTCCAAATGTCCACGTGCAGATTAAACAAAAAGGGTGTTTCAAAACTGCTGTATCAAAAGAAAGGTTCCACTCTGTGAGTTGTCTGCACACATCACAGAAAAGTTTCTGACAATACTTCTGTCGAGTTTTTATATTAAGATATTTCCTTTTTCACCATAGGCCTCAAAGCACACCGAATGTCCACTTGCAGATCCTACAAAGAGAGTGTTTCAAAACTCCTCTAACAAAAGAAAGGTTTAACTCTGTCAGTTCAATGCACACATCACAAAGGTATGTCTGATAATGATTCTGTCTAGTTTCTATGTGAAGATATTCCTCTTTCGAAAGAAGGCCTCAAAATGCTCCAAATGACCACTTGGAGATTCTACAAAAAGAGTGTTTCAAAACTCCTCTATGAAAAGAAGTGATCAAATCTGTGGGTTTAATGCAAACATCACAAAGAAGTTTTGGAGAATGCTTCTGTCTAGTTTTTATGTGAAGATATTTCCTTTTTCACCATAGGTCTCAAAGCGCTCCAAATGTCCACTTCCAGATATTACAAAAAGAGTGTTTCAAAACTGTCCTATGTAAAGGAATGTTCAACTCCGTGAGTTGAATGCAAACATTACAAAGAAGTTTCTGAAAATGCTTCTGCCTAGTTTTCATGTTAAGATATTTCCTTTTTCAACATAGGCCTCAAAGCACAACAAATGTCCACCTGCAGATTCTACAAAGACAGTGTTTCAAAGCTGCTCTACCAAAAGAAGGTTTCAACTCTGTGAGTTGAATGCACACATCACAAGGTTGTTTCTGACAATGCTTCTGTCTAGTTTTTATGTGAAGATATTCCCGATTTGAAAGAAGGCCTCAAAGTGCTACAATTGACCACTCGCAGATTCTACAAAAATTGTGTTTCAAATCTGCTCTATGAAAAGGAATGTTCAACTCTGTGAGTTGAATGCAAACATCACAAAAATTTTCTGAGAATTCGTCTGTTTAGTTTTTATATGAAGATATTTCCTTTTTCACCATAGGCCTCAAAGCGCTCCAAGAGTCCACTTACAGACTCTACAAAAAGAGAGTTTCAAAACTGTTCTATGAAAAGTAATGTTCAACTCTGTGAGTTGAATGCAAGCATCACAAAGTAGTTTCTGAGAATGCTTCTGTCTAGTTTTTATGTGAAGATATTCCCATTTCCAGCGAAGGCCTCAAAGCTGTCCAAATATCCACTTGCAAATTCTATAAAAAGAGTGTTTCAAATCTACTCTGTCAAAGGAAAGTTTCAACTCTGTGAGTTGAATGCACACATCACAAAGAAGTTTCTGAGAATTCTTCTCTCTGGTTTTTATGTGAAGATATTCCCGTTTCTAATGAAAGCCTCAAAGCTGACTTAATATCCACTTGTAAATTCTACAAAAAGTGTGTTTCAGAACAGCTCTATCAAAAGAAAGCTTTTACTCTGTGAGTTGAGTACACACATAACAAAGTAGTTTCTGAGAATGCCTCTGGCTACTTTTTACTTGTAGATATTTCTTTTTTCACCATAGGCCTCAAATCGTTACAAACGTCCACTTGCAGATTCTACAAAAAGAGTGTTTCAAAACTGCTCTATGAAAAGGAAGGGTCAACTCTGTGAGTTGGATGCAAACATCACAAAGAAGTTTCTGAGAATGCTTCTGCCTAGTTTTTATGTGAAAATATTCCCGTTTCCAATGAGAGCCTCAAATCTCTCCAAATATCGACTTGCAGATCGTACAAAGAGAGTGTTTCAAAACTTCTCTTTCAAAAGAAATGCTCAACTCTGTGAATTGAGGACACACATCACAAAGAAGTTTCTTAGAATGCTTCTATCTTGTTTTTATGTGAAGATATTCTCGTTTCCTGCGAAGGCCTCAAATTTGTCCAAATACCCACTTGTAAATACTACAAAAAGAGTGTTTCCAATCTGCTCTATCAAAAGAAAAGTTTAACTCTGTGAGTTGACTGCACACATCTCAAAGAAGTTTCTGAGAATGCTTCTGTCTAGTTTTCCTATGAAGACATTTCCTTTTTCACTGTAGGTCTCATAGCACAACAAATGTCCACTTGCAGATTCTACAAAGAGAGTGTTTCAAAATTGCTCTATCAAAAGAAAGGTTCAACTCTCTGACTTCATTACAGATATCACAAAGAAGTTTCTGAGAATGCTTCTGTCTAGTTTTCATGTGAAGATATTTCCTTTTTTGCCATAGGCCTCAAAGCCCCCCAAATATCCACTTCCAGATACTACAAAAGAGTGTTTCAAAACTGCTCTATGAAGAGGAGTGTTCAACTCTGTGAGTTGAATGCAAGCATCACAAAAAGTTTCTGAGAATGCTTCTGTCTAGTTTTTTTGTTAAGATATTTCTTTTTCACCATAGACCTCAAAGCACACCCAATGTCAACTTGCAGATTCTACAAAGAGAGTGTTTCAAAACTGCTCTATCAAAAGACGGTTTCTACTCTGTGAGTTGAATGCACACATCAGAAAGATGTTTCTGATAATGATTCTGTCTAATGTTTATGTGACGATATTTTCTTTTTCACCTTAGGCCTCAAAGCGCTCCAAATGTCCCCTTCCAGATACTACAAAAACAGTGTTTCAAAACTGCTCTATCAAAAGAAAAGATCAACTCTGTGAGTTGAGTGCACACATCACAAAGAAGTTTCTGAGAATGCTTCTGTCTAGTTTTTATGTGAAGATAGTTCCGTTTCCAAAGAAAGCGTCAATGCTGTCCAAATATCCAATTGCAAATACTACAAAAAGTGTTTCCAATCTGCTCTATTAAAAGAAAGTGTCAACACCGTGATTTGAATGCACACTTCACAGAGAAGTTTCTGAGAATTCTTCTGTCTAGTTTTTAAGTGAAGATATTCCCGTTTCCAAAGAAAGCCTCAAAGCTGTCCAAGTATCCACTTGGAAATGCTTCAAAAGGAGTGATTCAAAACTGCTGTAGCAAAAGAAAGATTCATCTGTGAGTTGAGTACACACTTCACAAAGAAGTTTCTGAGAATGCTTTTGTCTCATTTTTATGTGAAGATATTTCCTTTTTCACTATAGGCCACCAAGCGCTCCAAATGTCCACTTGCAGATTCCAGAAAGAGTGTTTCAAAACTGCTCTATGAAAAGGAATGTTCAACTCTGTGAGTTGAATGCAAACATCACAAAGAAGTTTCTGAGAATATTTCTGTCTGGTTTTTATATGAAGATATTCCCGTTTCCAAGGAAAGCCTCAAAGGTGTCCTAATATCCACTTGTAAATTCTACAAGAAGAGTGTTTCAAAACTGCTCTATCAAAGGAAAGATTTAAATCTGTGAGTTGAGTACACATATCACAAAGAAGTTTCTGAGAATGCTTCTGTCTAGTTTTTATGTGAAGATATTTCCTTTTTCACCATTGGCCTCAAAGCGCTCCAAACGTCCACTTCCAGATTCTACAAAAAGAGTGTTTCAAAACTGCTCTATGAAAGAGAAAGTTCAACTCTGTGAGTTGAATGCAAACATCACAAAGAAGTTTCTAAGAATGCTTCTCTCTAGTTTTTATGTGGAGATATTTCCGTTTCCAACGTAGGCCACAAAGCGCTCCAAATGTGCGCTTGCAGATTCCACAAAAAGAGTGTTTCAAAATTTCTCTCTCAAAAGAAAGGTTCAACTATGTGAGCTGAGTGCACACATCACAAATAAGTTTCAGAGAATGCTTCTGTCTAGTTTTTATGTTAAGATATTTCCGTTTTCACCACAAGCCTCAAAGCATACCAGATGTCCACTTGCAGATTCTACAAAGAGAGTGTTTCAAAACTGCTCTATCAAAAGAAGGGTTCAATTCTGTGAGTTGAATGCACAAATCACAAAGATGTTGCTGATAATAATTCTGTCCAGTTTTTAAGTGAAGATATTCCCGTTTGAAACGAAGGCCTCAAAGTGCTCCAAAGACCACTTGTAGATTCTGCAAAAAGAGTGTTTCAAAACTGCTCTATGACAAGGAATGTTCAACTCTGTGAGTTGAATGCAAATATCACAGTGAAGTTTCTGAGAATGCTTCTCTTTAGTTTTTATGTGAAGATATTCCCGTTTCCAACGAAGGCCACAAAGCGCTCCTAATGTCCACGTGCAGATTGCACAAAAAGAGTGTTTCGAAACTGCTCTATCAAAAGATAGGTTCAACTCTGTGAGTGGAGTGCACACATCACAAATAAGATTCTGAGAATGCTTCTGTCAAGTTTTTATGTTAAGATATTTCCTTTTTCATCATAGGCCTCATGCACACCAAATGTCCACTTGCACATACTACAAAGAGAGTGTTTCAAACTGCTCTATCAAAAGAAGGGTTCAAATCTGTGACTTTAATGCACACATCACAAAGATGTTTCTGAAAATGCTTCGGTCTAGTTTTTCTGTGAAGATATTCCCTTTTCGAAGGAAGGCATCAAAGCGCTCCAAATGACCACTTGCAGATCCTACAAAAAGAGTGTTTCGAAACTCCTCTATGAAAAGGAATGTTCAACTCTGTGAGTTGGCTGCACACATCACAAAGTAGTTTCTGAGAATGCTTCTGTCTGGTTTTTATGTGAAGACATTTCCTTTTCCACCATAGGCCTCAAAGCGCTCCAAATGTCCAAGTGCAGATTCTACAAAAAGAATGTTTCAAAACTGCTCTATGAAAAGAAATGTTCAACTCTGTGAGTTGAATGCAAAAATCAAAAAGTAGTTTACTAGAACGCTTCTGCCTAGTTTTTATGTGAAGATACACCCGTTTACAAAGAAGGCCTCAAAGCAGTCCAAATATCCACTTGCAAATTCTACAAAAAGAGTGTTTCAAAACTGCTCTTTCAAAAGAAAGGTTCAACTCTGTTAGTTGAGTGCGCACATCACAAAAAAGTTTCTGAGAATGCTTCTGTCTAGTTTTTATGGGAAGATATTCCATTTCCAGCGAAAGCCTCAAAGCTGTCCAAATAGCCATTAGCAGAATCTACAAAGAGAGTGTTTCAAAACTGCTCTATCAAAAGAAAGGTTTAACTCTGTGAGTTGAGTACACACATCACAAAGTTGTTTCTGAGTATGCTTCTATCTGGTTTTTATGTGAAGTTATTTCTTTTTCCACCATAGGCTTCAAAGCGCTCCAAATGTCCACTTGCAGGATCTACAAAAAGAGTGTTCCAAAACTGCTCTATGAAAGGGAATGTTTAACTTTGTGAGTTGAATGAAAACATCAAAAAGAACTTTCCTAGAATGCTTCTGTCTAGTTTTTATAAGAAAATAGTCCCTTTTCCAGTGATGGCTTCAAAACTGTCCAAATATCCAGTTGCAGATTCTACAAAGAGAGTGTTTCAAAACTGCTCTATCAAAAGAAGTGTTCAAATCTGTGAGTTGAGTATGCACATCACAAATTAGTTTCTGAGAATATTTCTGTCTAGTTTTTATATGAAGATACTCCCGTTCCCAGTGAAGGCCTTAAAGCTGTCCAAATATCCACTTGCAAATTCTGCAAAAAGAGTGTTTCCAATCTGCTATATCAAAAGAAAGTTTCAACACTGTGAATTGAATGCACACATCACAAGGGAGTGTCTGAGAATGCTTCTGTCTAGTTTTTTGTGAAGATATTCCCGTTTCCAACGAAAGCCTCATAGCTGTAAAATATCCACTTGTAAATGCTTCAAAAAGAGTGATTCAAATCTGCTCTATTAAAAGATAGGTTCACTTCTGTGAGTTGAGTACACACATCACAAAGAAGTTTCTGAGAATGCTTCTGTCTAGTTTTTATGTGAAGATATTTCCTTTTTCACCATAGTCCTCAAAGCGCTTCAAATGTCCATTGCAGATTCTACAAAAAGAGTGTTTCAAAACTGCTCTATGAAAAGGAATGTTCAACTCTGTGAGTTGAATGCAAACATCGCAAAGAAGTTTCTGAGAATGCTTCTGTCTAGTTTTTATGTGAAGATATTTCCGTTTCCAACGAAAGTCTCAAAGCTGTCCAAATATCCACTTGTAAATGCTGTAAAAAGAGTGTTTCAAAACTGCTCTAGCAAAGGAAAAGTTCATCTCTGTGTGTTTAGTAAACACATCAAAAAGAATTTCCTGAGAATGCTTCTGTCTAGTTTTTATGGGAAGATATTCCCGTTTCCAACCAAAGTCTCAAAGCTATCCAAATATCCCCTTGTAAATGCTGCAAAAAGATTGTTTCAAAACTGCTCTAGAAAAAGAAAGGTTCATCTCTGTGAGTTGAATACATGCATTACCAAGAAGTTTGTGAGAATGCCTCTGTCTAGTTTTTATGTGAAGATATTTCCTTTTTCACCATAGGCCTCAATGCACTCCGAATGTCCACTTGCAGATTCTACAAAAAGAGTCTTTCAAAACTGCTCTATGAAAAGGAATGTTCAACTCTGACTTAAATGCAAACATCACAAAGAGGTCTCTGAGAATGCTTCTGTCTAGTTTTTATGTGAATATATTCCCGTTTCCAACGAAGGCCACAAAGCGCTCCAAATGTCCACATACAGATTCTACAAAAGGAGTGTTTAAATACGCTCTATCAAAAGAAAGGTTCAATTCTGTGTGTTGAGTGAACACATCACAAAGAAGTTTCTGAGCCTGCTTCTATCTAGTTTTTATGTGAAGATATGCCCTTTACGAACGAAGGCATCAAAGCGCTTCAAATGTCCACTTGCAGATACTAAAAAGGAGTGTTTCAAAACTACTCTCTGAAAAGGAGTGTTCAACTCTGTGAGTTGAATGTAATCATCACAGAGAAGTTTCTGAGAATGCCACTGTCTAGTGTTTTGTGAACATATTCCCGTTTCCAACAAGACCCTCAAAGCTCCCAAATATTCACTTGCAGATTCTACAAAAAGAGTGCTTCAAAACTGCTCTGTCAAAAGAAAGGTTTAACTCTGTGAGTTGAGTGCACACATCACAAAGAAGTTTATGAGAATTCTTCTGTCTAGTTTTTATCTTAAGATATTTCGTTTTTCACCATATACCTCAAGCACCCCAAATGTCCACTTGCACATTCTACAAAGAGAGTGTTTCAAAACTGCTCTATGAAAAGGAATGTTCAACTCTGTGAGTTGAATGCAAGCATGACAAAAAAGTTTCTGAGAATGCCTCTGTCTAGTTTTTATTTGAATATAATACTGTTTCCAACGAAAGGCTCAAAGCTTTCCAAACATCCAGTTGGAGATACTACAAAAAGAGTGTTTGAAACCTGCTCTATGAAAAGGAATGTTCAACTCTGTGAATTATATGCACACATAGCAAAGAAGTTTCTGAGAATCCTTCTGTCTAATATTTATGTGAATATATTCCCGTTTCCAACGAAGGCCACAAAGCGCTCTAAATGTCCACTTGCAGATTGTACTGAAAGAGTGTTTAAAAACGCTCTGTCAAATAAAGCTTCAACTCTGTGTGTTGACTGCACACATCACAAAGAAGTTTCTGAGAATGCTTCTGTCTAGTTTTTATGCTAAGATATTTCCTTTTTCACCATAGTCCTCAAAGCACACAAAATGTCAACTTGCAGATTCTACAAAGAGAGTGTTTCAAAACTGCTCTATCAAAAGAAGGGTACAACTCTGTGAGTTGAATGCACACATCACAAAGAAGTTTCTGAGAATGCTTCTGTCTAGTTTTTATGTGAAGATATGCCCGTTTTGAATGAAGTCTTCAACAAGCTCCAAATGTCCACTTCCAGATCCTACAAAAAGAGTGTTTCAAAACTGCTCTATGAAAAGGAATGTTCAACTCTATATGAGTTGAATGCAAACATCACATAGAAGTTTCTGAGAATGCTTCTGTCTAGTTTTTATGTGAACATATTCCCATTTCCAATGAAGGCCACAAAGTGCTCCAAATGTCCACTTGCAGATACTACAAAAAGAGTGTTTCAAAACTGCTCTATGAAAAGGTATGTTCAACTCTATGAGTTGAATGCAAACATCACATAGAAGTTTCTGAGAATGCTTCTGTCTAGTTTTTATGTGAAGATATTACCGTTTCCAATGAAGGCCACAAAGCTCTCCAAATGTCCACTTGCAGGTTCTACAAAAAGAGTGTTTCAAACTGCTCTATGAAAAGGACTGTTCAACTCTGTGAGTTGAATGCACACATCACAAAGAAGTTTATACGAATGCTTCTGTCTAGTTTTTATATGAAGATATTTCCTTTTTCACCATAGGCCTCAAAGAGCTCCAAATGTCCACTGGCAGATACTACAAAAAGAGTGTTTCAAAACTGCTCTATGAAAAGGAATGTTCAACTCTGTGAGTTGAATGCAAACATTACAAAGAAGTTTCTGAGAATGCTTCTGTCTTGTTTTTATATAAAGATACTGCCGTTTCCAGCGAAGGCCTCAAAGCTGTCCAAATATCCACTTGCGAATCCCACAAAAACAGTGTTTCCAATCTGCTCTATAAAAAGAAAGCTTCAACACAGCGAGTTGAATGCACACTTCACAAAGAAGTTTCGGAGAATGCATCTGTCTAGTTTCTATGTGAAGATATTCGCGTTTCCAATGAAAGCATCAAAGCTTCCCAAATATCCATTTGTAAATTCTCCAAGAAGAGTGTTTCAAAACTGCTCTATCAAAAGAAAGGTTTAACTCTGTGAGCTGAGTACACACATCACAAAGAAGTTTCTGACAATGCTTCTGTCTAGTTTTTATTTGAAGATATTTCCTTTTTCACCTTAGGACCCCAAGCACTCCAAATGTCCAATTGCAATTTCTACAAAAAGAGTGTTTCAAACCTGCTCTATGAAAAGGAATGTTCAACTCTGTGAATTGAATGCAAACATCACATGAATTTTCTGAGAATGCTTCTGTCTAATTATTATCTGAAGATATTCCCGTTTTGAACGAAGGCCTCAATGTGCTCCAAATGTCCACTTGCAGATTCTACAAAAAGAGTGTTTCAAAACTGCCCTATGGAAAGGAAGATTCAACTCTGTGAGTTGAATGCACACATCACAAAGCAGTTTCTGCGAATGCTTCTGTCTACTTTTTATGTGAAGATATTTCCTTTTTCACCATAGGCCTCAAAGAACTCCAAATGTCCACTTGCAGATACTACAAAAAGATTGTTTCAAGACTTCTCTATCAAAAGATATGTTCAACTCTATGAGTTGAATGCAAACATCACAAAGCAGTTTCTGAGAATGCTCCTGTCTAGTTTTTATATAAAGATACTCCCGCTTCCAAAGAAGGCCTCAAATCCGTCCAAATATCCCCTTGCAAATTCTACAAAAAGAGTGTTTCAAAACTGCTCTATGAAAACAAATGTTCAACTCTGTGAGTTGAGAGCAAACATCACAAAGAACTTTCTGAGAATGCTTCTGTGTAGTTTTTATGTGAAGATATTTCCTTTTTCACCATAGGCCTCAAAGAGCTCCAAAAGTCCACTTGCGGATCCTGCAAAAAGAGTGTTTCAACCCTGCTCTATGAAAAGGAAGGTTCAACTCTGTGAGTTGAATGTACACATCACAAAGTAGTTTCTGAGAATGCTTCTGTCTAGTTTTTATGTGAAGATATTCCCGTTTCCAATGAAGGCCTCAAAGCAGTCCAAATATCTACCTGCAGATTCTACGAAAATAGTGTTGCAAAACTACTCTACGAAAAGGGAGGTTCGACTCTGTGAGTTGAATGCAAACATCACAAAGAAGTTTCTGACAATGCTTCTGTCTAGTTTTTATTTATAGATATTTCCTTTTCCACCATAGGCCTCCAAGCTCTCCAAATGTCTGCTTGCAGATTCTACAAAAAAAGTGCTTCAAACCTGCTCTATCAAAAGAAAGGTTCAATTCTGTGAGTGGAATGCACACATCACAAAGAGATTTCTGAGAATGATTCTGTCTAGTGTTTATGTGAAGATATCCCCTTTTCCAATGAAGGCCTCAAAGCGGTTCAATTATCCCCTTGCAGATTCTACAAAAAGAGTGTTTCAAACCTGCTTTATTAAAGGAAAGCTTCAACTCTGTGAGTTGAACACACACATCACAAAGAAGTTTCTGATAATGCTTCTATCTAGTGTTTATTTGAAGATATTCCCATTTCCAACGAAGGCTTCAAAGCGTTCCAAATATCCACGTGCAGATTCTGCAAAAAGAGTGCTTCAAAACTGCTCTATGAAGAGGTATGTTCAACCCTGTGATTTGAAAGCACACATCATAAAGTAGTTCCGAAGAATTATTCTGTGTGGTTTTTATATAATGATATTTCCTTTTCCATCATAGGCCTCAAAGCTCGCCATATGTCCACTTGAAGATTCTACAAAAAGACGGTTTCAAACCTGCTCTATGAAAAGAAAGGTTCAACTCTGTGAGTTGAATGCACACATCACAAAGCAGTTTCTGAGAATGCTTCTGTCTAGTGTTTATGTGAAGATAATCCCGTTGCCAACAAAGGCCTCAAAGCAGTGCAAATATCCACTTGCAGATTCTACTAAAAGAGTGTTTCAAAAGTACTCTATGATAAGGTATGTCCAACCCTGTGAATTGAATGCACACATCATAAGAAGTTTCTGAGAATGCTTCTGTCTAGTTTTTAATGGGAAGATATTTCCTTTTCCACCATAGGCCTCAAAGCACTCCAAATGTCCACTTGCAGATTCTGGAGAAAGAGTGTTTCAAACCTGCTCTATCAAAAGAAAGGTTCAACTCTGTGAGTTGAATGCACACAGTTCAAAAAAGTTTTTGAGAAAGCTTCTGTCTGGTGATTATGTGAAGATATTCCCCTTTGCAACAAAGGCCTCAAAGCGGTCCAAATATTCACTTGCAGATTCTACAAAAAGAGTGTTTCAAAACTGCTCTATGAAAAGGTGTGTTCAACTCTGTGAGTTGAATGCAAACATCACAATGTAGTTCCTTAGAATTCTTCTGTCTGGTTTTTATTTAAAGATATTTCCTTATCCACCATAGGCCTCATAGCTCTAAAAATGTCCGGTGCCGATTCTACAAAAAGAGGGTTTCAAACATGCTCTATCAAAAGAAAGTTTCAACCCTTTGAGTTGAATGCACACATCACAAAGAAGTTTCAGAGAATGCTTCTGTCTAGTGTGTATGTGAAGATATTCCCGTTTCCAAAGAAGGCCTCCAAGTGGTCCAAATATACATTTCCACATTCTACAAAAAGAGTGTTTCAAAACTGCTCTATCAAAAGAAAGGTACAACTCTGTGAGTAGAATGCACACCTCACAAAGAAGTTTCTGAGCATGCTTCTCTCTAGTTTTTATGTGAAGATATTTACTTTTCCACCATAGGCCTCAATCCTCTTCAAATGTCCCCTTGCAGATTCTACAAAAAGAGAGTGTTTCAAACATGCTCTATCAAAAGAAAGTTTCAACTCTTGGGGTTGAATGCACACATCACAAAGAAGTTTCTGATAATGCTTCTGCCTGTTTTTGTGTGAACATATTCCCATTTCCAACAAAGGCCTCAAAGCGTTTCAAATATCCACTTGCATATTCTACGAAAAGAGTGTTTCAAAACTGCTCTATGAAAAGGTATCTTCAACTCTGTGAGTTGAATGCAAACATCGTAAAGAATTTTCTGAGAATTCTTCTCTCTTATTTTTATATGAAGATATAACCTTTTCCACCATAGGCCTCAAAGCTCTCCAAATGTCAATTTGCAGATTCTACAAAAAGAGTGCTTCAAAGCTGCTCTATGAAAAGAAAGGTTCCACTCTTTGTGTTTAATGCATGCATGAAAAAGAAGTTTTTGAGAATGCTTCTGTCTAGTGTTTATGTGAAGACATTCCCGTTTCCAAAGAAAGCCTCATAGCGGTCCAAATATCCACTTGCAGATTCCGTAAAAAGAGTGTCTCAAAACTGCTCCAAGGAAAGGTATCTTCAACTCTGTGAGTTGAATGCAAACATCACAAACATGTTTCTGAGAACGCTTCTGTCTAGTTTTTGTGTGAAGATATTTCCTTTTCCACCATAGGACTCAAAGCTCTCCAAATGTCCACTTGCAGATACTAAGAAAAGAATGTTTCAAACCTGCTCTATGAAAGGAGAGGTTCAACTCTGTGAGTTGAATGCACACATCACAAAGAAGTTTCTGAGAACGCTTCTCTCTAGTTTTTATGTGAAGATACTTCCTTTTCCACCATAGATCTCAAAGCTCTCCAAATGTCCACTTCAGATTCTACAGAATGAATGTTTCCAACCTGCTCTATCAAAAGAAAGGTTCAACTCTGTGAGTTGAATGCACACATCACAAACAAGTTTATGAGAATGCTTCCGTCTAGTTTTTATGTGAAGATATATCCTTTTCCACCATAGGCCTCAAAGAGCTCCAAATGTCCACTTGCAGATCCTGCAAAAAGAGTGTTTCAACGCTGTTCTATGAAAAGAAAGGTTGAACTCTGTGAGTTGAATGCATACATCAAAAGTAGTTTCTGAGAATGCTTCTGTCTAGTTTTTATATGAAGATATTCCCATTTCCAATGACGGCCTCAAAGCAGTCCAAATATCCACTTGCAGATTATAAGAAAAGAGTGTTTCAAAATTGCTCTATGAAAAGGGAAGTTTAACTCTGTGAGTTGAATGCAAACATCACAAAGAAGTTTCTGACAATGCTTCTGTCTAGTTTTTATTTATAGATATTTCCTTTTCCACCATAGGCCTCAAAGCTCTCCAACTGTCAACTTGCAGAATCTACAAAAAAAAAGTGTTTCAGACCTGCTCTATGAAAAGAAAGGTTCAATTCTGTGAGTGGAATGCGCACATCACAAAGAAGTTTCTGAGAACGATTCTGTCTAGTGTTTATGTGAAGATATCCCCTTTTCCAACGAAGGCCTCAAAGCGGTTCAAATATCCACTTGCAGATTCTGCAAAAAGAGTGCTTCAAAACTGCTCTATGAAGAGGTATGTTCAACCCTGTGATTTGAAAGCACACATCATAAAGTAGTTCCTAAGAATTATTCTGTCTGGTTTTTATATAATGATATTTCCTTTTCCATCATAGGCCTCAACGCTCGCCATATGTCCACTTGAAGATTCTACAAAAAGACGGTTTCAAACCTGCTCTATGAAAAGAAAGGTTCAACTCTGTGAGTTGAATGCACACATCACAAAGCAGTTTCTGAGAATGCTTCTGTCTAGTGTTTATGTGAAGATAATCCCGTTGCCAACAAAGGCCTCAAAGCAGTGCAAATATCCACTTGCAGATTCTACTAAAAGAGTGTTTCAAAAGTGCTCTACGATAAAGTATGTTCAACTCTGTGAATTGAATGCACACATCATAAGAACTTTCTGAGAATGCTTCTGTCTAGTTTTTATGGGAAGATATTTCCTTTTCCACCATAGGCCTCAAAGCACTCCAAATGTCCACTTGCGGATTCTAGATAAAGAGTGTTTCAAACCTGCTCCATCAAAAGAAAGGTACAACTCCGTGAGTTGAATGCACACAGTACAAAAAAGTTTTTGAGAAAGCTTCTGACTAGTGATTATGTGAAGATATTCCTGTTTCCCACGAAGGCCTCAAAGCGGTCCAAATATTCACTTGCAGATTCTACAAAAAGAGTGTTTCAAAACTGCTCGATGAAAAGGTATGTTCATCTCTATGAGTTTAACGCAAACATCACAATGTAGTTCCTTAGAATTCTTCTGTCTGGTTTTTATTTACAGATATTTCCTTTTCCACCATAGGCCTCATAGCTCTAAAAATGTCCGGTACCGATTCTACAAAAAGAGTGTTTCAAACATGCTCTATCAAAAGAAAGTTTCAACCCTTTGAGTTGAATGCACACATCACAAAGAAGTTTCTGAGAATGCTTCTGCCTGTTTTTGTGTGAACATATTCCCGTTTCCAACGAAGGCCTCAAAGCATTCCAAATATCCACTTGCATATTCTATGAAAGAGTGTTTCAAAACTGCTCTATGAAAAGGTATCTTCAACTCTTAATTGAATGCAAGCATCACAAAGAAGTTTCTGAGATTTCTTCTCTCTAATTTTCATATGAAGATATAACCTTTTACCCCATAGGCCTCAAAGCTCTCCAATTGTCAACTTGCAGATTCTACAAAAAGAGTGTTTCAAAGCTGCTCTATCAAAAGAAAGGTTCAACTCCTTGAGTTTAATGCACGCATGACAAAGAAGTTTTTGAGAATTCTTCTGTCTAGTGTTTATGAGAAGATATTTCCGTTTCTAATGAAGACCTCATAGCCGTCCAAATATCCACTTGCAGAATCTACAAAAAGAGTGTCTCAAAACTGCTCCATGGAAAGGTATCTTCAACTCTGTGAGTTGAATGCAAACATCACAAAGACGTTTCTGAGAATGCTTCTATCTAGTTTTTGTGTGAAGATACTTCCTTTTCCACCATAGGACTCAAAGCTCTCCAAATGTCCACTTTCAGATTCTACAAAAAGAGTTTTTCAAACCTGCTCTATGAAAAGAGAGGTTCAAATCTGTGAGTTGAATGCACACATCACAAAGAAGTTCCTGAGAATGCTTCTCTCTAGTTTTTATATGAAGATACTTCCTTTTCCACCATAGGCCTCAAAGCTCTCCAAATGTCCACTTCAGATTCTACAAAATGAATGTTTCAAACCTGCTCTACCAAAATAAAGGTTCAGCTCTGTGATTTGAATGTGCACATCACAAATAATTTTACGAGAATGCTTCTGTCTAGTTTTTATGTGAAGATATATCCTTTTCCACCATAGGCCTCAAAGAGTTCCAAATGTCCACTTGCAGATCCTGCATAAAGAGTGTTTCAACCCTGCTCTATGAAAAGGAAGGTTCAACTCTGTGAGTTGAATGCACACATCACAAAGGAGTTTCTGAGAATGCTTCTGTCTTGGGTTTATGTGAAGACACTCCCGTTTCCAATGAAGGCCTCAAAGTGGTCCAAATATCCACTTGCAGATTCTACTAAAAGAGTGTTTCAAAAGTGCTCTATGATAAGGTATGTTCAACTCTGTGAATTGAATGCACACATCATGAAAACTTTCTGAGAATGCTTCTGTCTAGTTTTTATGGGAAGATATTTCCTTTTCCACCATAGGCCTCAAAGCACTCCAAATATCCACTTGCTGATTCTAGAAAAAGAGTGTTTCAAAACTGCTCCATCAAAAGAAAGGTACAAGTCCGTGAGTTGAATGCACACAGTACAAAAAAGTTTTTGAGAAAGCTTCTATCTAGTGATTATGTGAAGATGTTCCCATTTCCAACGAAGGCCTCAAAGTGGTCCAAATATTCACTTGCAGATTCTACAAAAAGAGCATTTCAAAACTGCTCGATGAAAAGGTATGTTCATCTCTATGAGTTGAACGCAAACATCACAATGTAGTTCCTTAGAATTCTTCTGTCTGGTTTTTATTTGAAGATATTTCCTTTTCCACCATAGGCCTCATAGCTCTAAAAATATCCGGTACCGATTCTACAAAAAGAGTGTTTCAAACATGCTCTATCAAAAGAAAGTTTCAACTCTTTGAGTTGAATGCACACATCACAACGAAGTTTCTGAGAATGCTTCTGCCTGTTTTTGTGTGAACATATTCCCGTTTCCAACGAAGGTCTCAAAGCGTTCCAAATATCCACTTGCAGAGTCTAGGAAAAGACTGTTTCAAAACTGCTCTATGAAAAGGTATGTTCAACTCTGAGTTGAATGCAAGCATCACAAAGAAGTTTCTGAGAATTCTTCTCTCTAATTTTTATATGAAGATATAACCTTTTACACCATAGGCCTCAAAGCTCTCCAAATGTCAACTTGCAGATTCTACAAAAGGAGTGTTTCAAAGCTGCTCTATCAAAAGAAAGGTTCAACTCTTTGAGTTTAATGCACGCATGACAAAGAAGTTTTTGAGAATGCTTCTGTCTAGTGTTTATGAGAAGATATTTCTGTTTCTAATGAAGGCCTCATAGCGGTCCAAATATCCACTTGCAGATTCTACAAAAAGAGTATCTCAAAACTGCTCCATGGAAAGGTATCTTCAACTCTGTGAGTTGAATGCAAACATCACAAAGACGTTTCTGAGAATGATTCTGTCTAGTTTTTGTGTGAAGATATTTCCTTTTCCACCATACGCCTCAAAGCTCTCCAAATGTCCACTTACAGATTCTACAAAAAGAATATTTCAAATCTACTATATCAAAAGAAACCTTCAACTCTTTGTGTTTAATGAACACATCACAGAGTTGTTTCTGAGAATGCTTCTGTGTAGTTTTTATGAGAAGATAATTCCTTTTCCACCATAGGCCTCAAAGCTCTCCAAATGTCCACTTGCAGATTCTACAAAAAGAGTGTTTCAAACCTGCTCTATTAAAAGAAAGGTTCAAATCTTTATGTTGAATACACACATCACAAAGAAGTTTCTGAGAATGCATCTGTCTAGTTTTTATGTGAAGATATTCCTGTTTCCAATGAAGGCCTCAAAGCGGTCAAAATATCCACTTGCAGATTCTACTAAAAGGGTGCTTCAAAACTGCTCTATGACAAAGTATGTTCAACTCGGTGAGTTGAATGCACACATCACAAAGAAGTTTCTGAGAACGCTTCTGTCTAGTTTTTATGTGAAGATATTCCCTTTTAAAACGAAGGCCTCAAAGTAGTCCAAATATCCACTTGTAGAGTCTACAAAATGAGTGTTTCAAAACTGCTCTATGAAAAGGGATTTTGAACTCTGTGAGTTGAATGCAAACATCACAAAGATGTTTCTGAGAATGCTTCTGTCTAGTTTTTATGTGAAGATATTTCCTATTCCACCACAGGCCTCAAAGCATTCCAAATGTCCAGTTGTAGATTCTACAAGAAGGATGTTTCATACCTGCTCTATGAAATAAGGTTAACTCTGTGAGTTGAATGCACTCAGCACAAAGAAGTTTTTGAGAAAGCATCTCTCTAGTGATTATGTGAAGATAATCCCGTTTCCAACGAAGACCTCAAAGCGGTCCAAATATCCACTTGCAGCTTCTACTACAAGAGTGTTTCAAAACTGCTTTATGATAAAGTATGTTCAACTCTGTGAGTTGAATGCAAACCTCACAAACTAGTTTCTGAGAATGCTTCTATCTAGTTTTTATGTGAAGATATTCCCGTTTCCAACGAAGTCCTGAAAGCTATCCAAATATCCATTTGCAGCTTCTACATAAAGAGTGTTTCAAAACTGCTCCATGAAAAGTTATGTTCAACTCTGTGTTTTGAATGCAAACATCACAATGTAGTTTCTGAGAATGCTTCTGTCTACTTTGTATGTGATGATATTTCCTTTTGAACCATAGGCTTCAAATCTCTCAAAATGTCGAACTGCAGATCCTACAAAAAGAGTGTTTCAAACCTGCTCTATCAAAAGAAAGGTTAAACTCTGTGAGTTGAAAGCACACATTACAAAGAAGAGTCTGAGAATCCTTCTGTCTACTGTTTATGTGAAGATATTCCCATTTCCAACGAAAGCCTCAAAGCGGTCCAAATATCCACTTGCAGATTCTACAAAAAGAGTGTTTCAAAACTGCTCTAGGACAAGGTATGTTCAACTCTGTGTGTTGAATGCAACCACCCTAAAGAATTTTCTGAGAATGCTTCTGTCTAGTTTTTATGTGAAGATATTCCCGTTTCCAACGAAGGCCTCAAAGCGTTCCAAATATCCGCTTGCAGATTCCACGAAGAGTGTTCCAAAACTGCTCTGTTAAAAGGTATGTTCAACTCTTTGAGTTGAATGCAAACGTCACAAAGATGTTTCTGAGAATTCTTCTGTCTAGTTTTTATATGATGATATCTCCTTTTCCACCACAGGCCTCAAAGCTCTCCAAATGTGCACGTGCAGATTCTGCTAAAAGAGTGTTTCAAAGCTATTCTATGATAAGGTACGTTGAAATCTGTGAGTTGAAAACAAACATCACAAAGAAGTTTCTGAGAATGCTTCTGTCTATTTTTTATGTGAAGATATTCCCGTTTCCATAGAAGGCCTCAAAGCGGTAAAAATATCCACATGCAGATTCTACTAAAAGAGTGTTTCAAAACTGCTCTATCAAAAGGTATGTTCAACTCTGTGAGTTGAATGCAAGATCACAAAGAATTTTCTGAGAATTCTTCTGCCTGCTTTTTATATCAAGATACTTCCTTTTCCACCATAGGCCTCAAAGCTCTCCAAAAGTTCACTTGCAGATCCTCCAAAAAGATTGTTTCAAACCTGCTCTATCAAAAGAAAGGTTCAACTCTGTGAATTGAATGCACATATCACAGAGAAGTTTCTGGGAATGATTCTGTCTAGTGTTTATGTAAAGACATTCCCGTTTTCAACGAAGGCCTCAAAGCAGTCCAAATATCCATTTGCAGTTTCTTCAAAAAGATTGGTTCAAAACTGCTCTATCAGAGAAAGTTCAACTCTGTGAGTTTAATTCACACATCACAAAGAAGTTTCTCAGAATGCTTCTGTCTAGTTTTTATGTGAAGCTATTTCCTTTTCCACCCTAGGCCTCAAAGCAGTTCAAATGTCAACTTGCAGATCCTACGAAAAGAGTGTTTCAAAACTGCTCTATGAAAAGGAAGGTTTAACTCTGTGAGCTTAATGAAAACACCACAAAGAAGTTTCTGAGTATGCTTCTGTCTAGTTTTTATGTGAAGATATTTCCTTTTCCAGCATAGGCCTCAAATCACTCCAAATGTCCACTTGCAGATTCTACAAAGAGAGTGTTTCAAACCAGCTCTATCAAAGGAAAGGTTCAACTCTGTGATTTGAATGCACACATCACAAAGGAGTTTCTGAGAATGCTTCTCTCTAGTGTTTATGTGTAGATATTCCCATTTCCAATGAAGGCCTCAAAGCGGTCTAAATATCCACTTGCAGATTCTACAAAAAGTGTGTTTCTAAACTTCTCCATGAAAAGGTATGTTCAACTCTGTGAGTTAAATGCAAACATCCTTAAGAAGTTTCTGAGAATGCTTCTGTCTAGTTTTTGTGTGAAGATATTTCCTTTTCCACCATATGCCTCAAAGCTCTCCAAATGTCAACTTGCAGATTCTACAAAAAGAGTGTTTCAAACCTGCTCTATCAAAAGAAAAGTTCATCTCTGTGAGTTGAATGCACACATCACTAAGAGGTTTCAGAGAATGCTTCTGTCTAGTCTTTATGTGAAGGTATTCCCGTTTCCAACGAAGGCCTCAGAGCAGTCCAAATATCCACTTGCGAAGTCTACTAAAAGAGTGTTTCAAAACTGCTCTATGATAAGGTATGTTCAAATCTGTGAGTGGAATGCAAACATCACAAAGAAGTTTCTGAGAATGCTTCTGTCTAGTTTTTATGTGAAGTTATTTTCTTTTCCACCATTGGCCTCAAAGCGCTGCAAATGTCCTCTTGCAGATTCTACAAAAAGAGTATTTCAAACCTGCTGTATCAAAAGAAAGGTTCAATTCTCTGAGTTGAATGCACACATCACAAAGAAGTTTCGGAGAATTCTTCTGTCTGGTTTTTATGTAAAAATATTTCCATTGCCACCGTAGGCCTCAGAGCGATCCAAATGTCCACTTGCAGATTATACAAAAACAGTGTCTCAAAACTGCTCTATCAAAAAGAAGGTTCAACTCTGTGAATTGAATGCACACATCACAAAGAAGTTTCTGAGAATGCTTCTGTCTAGTGTTTATGTGAAGGTATTCCCGTTTCCACCGAAGGCCTCAAAACACTCCAAATATCCACTTGCAGATTCTACAACAAGTGTGTTTCAAAACTGTTCTGTTAAGAGGAATGGTGAACTCCATGAGTTGAATGCACAAATCACAAAGAAGTTTCTGAGAATGCTTCTGTCTAGTTTTTGTGTGATGATATTTCCTTTTCCAACATAGGCCTCAGAGCAGTCCAAGTATCCACTTGCAGATTCTACAAAAAGAGTGCTGCAAACCTGCTCTGACTAAAGGAATGTTCAACTCTTTGAGTTGAATGCACACATCACAAAGTAGTTTCTGTGAATGCTTCTATCTAGTTTCTGTATGAACATATTTCCTTTTCTACCATAGGCCTCAAAGCGCTCCAAATATCCACCTGCAGATTCTACAAAAAGAGTGTTTCAAAACTGCTCTACCAAAAGGAAGTTTCAACTCTCTGAGTTTAATGCACACAGCACAAAGAAGTTTCTCTGACTACTTCTGTGTTGTTTTTATTTAAAGATATTTCATTTTCCAACACAGAGCGCAAAGGGCTCCAAATATCCACTTGCAGTTTCTTCAAAAGAGAGATTCTAAACTGCCCAATCAAAAGATAGGTTCATCTCTGTGAGTTGAATGCATACATCACAAAGAAGTTTCTCTGAATGGTTCTGTGTAGTTTTATTTAAAGATAATTCCTTTTCCACCATAGGGCACAATTGGCTCCAAATATCCACTTGTAGATTCTACAAAACCAGAGATTCAAAACTGCTCATTGAGAAGATAATTTCAACTCAGTGATTTGAATGTACACATCACTAAGAAGTTTCTTAGAAAGCTTCTGTGCAGTTTTTATGGAAGATATTTCCTTTTCCACCATAGGGTGCATAGGGCTCCAAATATCCTCTTGCAGATTCTAGAAAAAGAGAAACTCTAAACTGCTCAATCAACAGATAGGTTCAACTCTGTAAGTTGAATGCCCACATCACAAAGAAGTTTCTCAGAATGCTTCTGAGTATTTTTTATGGGAAGATGTTTCCTTTTCCACAATAGGCCTCAAAGTTCTCCAAATATCGACTTGAAAATTCTACAAAAACGGTGTTTCAAAACTGCTCAATGAAAAGAAAGTTTCAACCCTGTGAGATGAATGCACACATCACAAAGTAGTTTCTCAGAATGCTTCTGTGTTGTTTTTATGTGAAGATATTTCCTTAACACAATGGGCCTCAGTGGGCTCCAAATATCCACTTCCATATTCTACAAAAAGAGTGTTTCAAAACTGCTCAATCATGAGATAAATTCATCCCTGTGAGATGAATTCACACGTCACGAAGTAGTTTCTCAGAATGCTTCTCTGTAATTTTTATGTGAGGATATTTGCTTTTCCACAGTAGGCCTCAAAGGGCTCCAAATATCCACTTGCAGATTCTGCAAAAAGAGAGGTTCAAAACTGCTCAATCAAAAGATACTTTCAACTCTGTGAGTTGAATGCACACATCACAAAGAAGTTTGTCTGAATGCTTCTGTGTAGTTTTTATTTCAAGATATTTCCTTTTCCACCATAGGGCTCAAAGGGCTCCAAATATCCACTTGCAGATTCTACAAAAAGAGAGATTCAAAACTGCTCAAAGAGAAGATAAGATCAACTCTGTGAGTTGAATGCACACCTCACAAAGAAGTTTCTCAGAATGCTTCTGTTTAGTTTTTATGTGAACATATTTGATTTTCCACAGTAGGCCTCACAACGGTCAAAATATCCACTTGCAGATTGTGCAAAAAGAGAGATTCAAAACTGTTCAATCAAAAGATAGGTTCAACTCTGTGAGTTGAATGCATACATCACGAAGAAGTTTCTGAGAATGCTTCTGTGTAGTTTTTATTTGAAGTTATTTCCTTTTCCACAGTAGGCCTCGAAGGTCTCCAAATATCCACCTGCAGATTCTTCATAAAGAGAGATTCAAAACTGCTCAAACAAAAGATAAGTTCACCTCTGTGAGTTGAATGAACACATCACAAAGCAGTTTCTCTGAATGCTTCTATATAGTTTTTATTTGAAGATATTTCCTTTTCCACCATAGGGTGCAAAGGGCTCCTAATATCCACTTGCAGATTCTACAAAAAGAGAGATTCAAAACTGCTCAATCAAAAGATAGGTTCAACTCTGTGAGTTGAATGCACACATCACAAAGAAGTTTCTCAGAATCTTTCTTTGTAGTTTTCATGTGAACATATTTGATTTTCCACAGCAGGCCTCAAAAGGCTCCAAATATCCACCTGCAGATTCTGCAAAAAGAAGTATTCAAAACTGCTCAATCAAAAGATAGGTTCAACACTGTGAGTTGAATGCATACATCAGAAAGAAGTTTCTCTGAATGATTCTGTGTAGTTCTATTTGAAAATAATTCCTTTTCCACCATAGGGCAAAAAGGGCTCTAAATATCCACTTGCAGAATCTACAAAAACAGAGATTCAAAACTGCTCATTGAGAAGATAAGTTCAACTCAGTGGGTTGACTGTACACATCACGAAGAAGTTTCTTAGAATGCTTCTGTGTAGTTTTTATTGAAGATATTTCCTTTTCCACCATAGGGCGCAAAGGGCTCCAAATATCCTCTTGCAGATTATAGAAAAAGAGAGACTCTAAACTGCTCAATCAAAAGATAGGTTCAACTCTGTGAGTTGAATGCCCACATCACAAAGAAGTTTCTCGGAATGCTTCTGAGTAGTTTTTATGTGAAGATGTTTCCTTTTCCACAATAGGCGGCAAAGTTCTCCAAATATCCACTTGCAGATTCTACAAAAACGGTGTTTCAAAACTGCGCAATGTAAAGAAAGGTTCAACTCAGTGAGATGAATGCACACATCACAAAGAAGTTTCTCAGAATCCTTCTGTGTTGTTTTTATGTGAAGATATTTTCTTTACACTGTAGGCCTCAATGGGCTCCAAATATCCACTTCCATATTCTACAAAAATAGTGTTTCAAAACTGCTCAATCATGAGATAGATTCAACCCTGTGAGATGAATGCACACGTCACTAAGTAGTTTCTCAGAATGCTTCTGTGTAATTTTTATGTGAAGATATTTGCTTTTCCACAGTAGGCCTCAAAGGGCTCCAAATATCCACCTGCAGATTTTGCAAAAAGAGAGATTCGAAACTGCTCAATCAAAAGGTACGTTCAACTCTGTGAGTTGAATGCATACATCACAAAGAAGTTTGTCTGAATGCTCCTTTGTAGTTTTTATTTCAAGATATTTCCTTTTGCACCACAGGGCTCAAAGGGCTCAAAATATCCACTTGCAGATTCTACAAAAAGAGAGATTCAAAACTGCTCAATGAGAAGATAAGATCAAATCTGTGAGTTGAATGCACACCTCACAAAGAAGTTTCCCAGAATGTTTCTGTGTAGTTTTTATGTGAAGATATTTCCTTTTCCACAATAGGCCTCCAAGCTCTCCAAACATCCACATACAGGTTCTGCAAAAAGAGAGATTCAAAACTGCTCAATCGAAAGATAGGTTCAACTCTGTGACTTGAATGCACACATCGCAAAGAAGTTTCTCAGAATCTTTCTGTGTAGTTTTTATGTGAACATATTTGATTTTCCACAGTAAGCCTCAAAAGGCTCCAAATATCCACCTGCAGTTTCTGCAAAAAGAGGGATTCAAAACTGCTCAATCAAAAGATAGGATCAACT
The DNA here is from genome assembly GCF_000001405.40 of Homo sapiens. Taxonomy (NCBI): domain Eukaryota; kingdom Metazoa; phylum Chordata; class Mammalia; order Primates; family Hominidae; genus Homo; species Homo sapiens. The sequence goes on from NC_000014.9 coordinate 18,251,470, forward strand.
CTGTGAGTTGAATGTATACATCACAAAGAAGTTTCTCTGAATGGTTCTGTGTAGTTTTATTTGCAGATATTTCCTTTTCCACAATAGGGTGAAAGGGCTCCAAACATCCACTTCCAGATTCTACAAAACAGAGATTGAAAACTACTCAATGAGAAGATAAGTTCATCTCAGTCAGTTGAATGCACACATCACGAAGAAGTTTCTTAGAATGCTTCTGTGTAGTTTTTATTGAAGATATTTCCTTTTCCACCATAGGGTGCAAAGGGTTCCAAATATCCACTTGCAGATTCTAGAAAAAGAGTGACTCTAAATTGCTCAATCAAAAGATAGGTTCAACTCTGTGAGTTGAATGCCCATATCACAAAGAAGTTTCTCGGAATGCTTCTGAGTAGTTTTTATGTGAAGATATTTCCTTTTCCAAAATAGGCCTCAAAGTTCTCCAAATATCCACTTGCAGATTCTACAAAAAGAGTGTTTCAAAACTGCTCAATCAAAATAAAGGTTCAACTCTGTGAGATGAATGCACACATCACAAAGAAGTTTCTCAGAATGCTTCTGTGTAGTTTTTATGTGAAGTTATTTCCTTTTCCACCATAGGCCTCAAAGCTCTCCCAACACCCACTTGCAGAACCTGCAAAAAGAGAGATTCAAAACTGCTCAATTGAAAGACAGGTTGAACTCTGTGAGTTGAATGCATACAGCACAAAGAAGTTTCTCAGAATGCTTCTCTGTAGTTTTTATGTGAACATATTTGATTTTCCACAGTAGGCCTCACAGCGCTCCAAATATCCACTTGCAGATTCTACAAAAAGAGAGATTCAAAACTGTTCAATCAAAAGATAGGTTCAACTCTGTGAGTTGAATGCATACATCATGAAGAAGTTTCTGAGAATGCTTCTGTGTAGTTTTTATTTGAAGATATTTCCTTTTCCACCATAGGCCGCAGAGGGCTCCAAATATCCACTTGCAGATTCAGCAGAAAGAGTGTTTCAGAACTGCTCAATCAAAAGAAAGTTTCAACTCTATGAGATGAATGCACACATCACAAAGAAGTTTCTCAGAATGCTTCTGTGTAGTTCTTATTTGAAGATATTTGGTTTTCCACTGTAGACCTCAAAGCGCTCCAAATATCCACTTGAAGATACTACAAAAAGAGTGTTTCAAAACTGCTCAATCATAAGCTAAGTTCAACCCTGTGAGATGAATGCACACATCACAAAGCAGTTTCTCTGAGTGATTCTGTGTAGTTTTTGTTTGAAGATATTTCCTTTTCCACCATAGGGTTCAAAGAGCTCCAAATATCCACTTGGAGATTCTACCAAAAGATAAATTCAAAACTGCTCAATGAGAAGATAAGTTCAACTCTGTCAGTTGAATGCACACCTCACAAAGTAGTTTCTCACAATGCTTCTGCATAGTTTTTATGTGAAGATATTTGCTTTTCCGCTGTAGGCCTCAAAGGGCTCAAATATCCACCTTCAGATTGTGCAAAAAGAGAGATTCAAAACTGCTCAATCAAAAGATAGGTTCAACTCTGTGAGTTCAATGCACATATCACAAAGAAGTTTCTCTGAATGCTTCTGTGTAGTTTTTATTTCAAGATATTTCCTTTTCCACCATAGGGCTCAAAGGTCTTCAAATATCCACTTGCAGATTCTACAAAAAGAGAGATTGAAAACTCCTCAAAGAGAAGATAATTTCAACTCTGTGAGTTGAATGAACACCTCACAAAGTAGTTTCTCAGAATGCTTCTGTGTAGTTTTTATGTGAAGATATTTCCTTTCCCACAATAGGCCTCAAAGCTTTCCAAACATACACTTGTAGTTTCTGCAAAAAGAGAGATTCAGAACTACTCAATCAAAATGTAGTTTCAATTCTGTGAGTTGAATGCAAACATCACAATGGTGTTTCTCAGAATGCTTCTGAGTAGTTTTTATGTGAAGATATTTCCTTTTCCACAATAGGCTTCAAAGAACTCCCAATATCCACTTGCAGTTTCCACGAAGAGAGTGTTTCAAAACTGCTCAATCAAAAGAAAGTTTCAACTCTGTGAGATGAATGCACACATCACAAAGGAGTTTCTCAGGTTGCTTCCTTCTAGATTTTATGTGAAGATATTTCCTTTTCTATCATAGGCCGCAAAGCGCTCCAAATGTCCACTTGCCGATTCTACAAAAAGGGTGTTCCCAAACTACGCAATCAAAAGAAAGGTTCAACTCTGTTAGATGAGCGTACACATCATAAAAAAGATTCTCAGAATTCTTCTTTTTTTTTTTGTGAAGATATTTCCTTTTCCAACTTAAGCCTCAAGGTGCTTGAAATGTCCCCTTGCAGATTATCCAAAAAGAGTATTTGAAAACTGGGTCTCCTAAAGAAAGTTAGAACTCCAGGAGATGAATGCAGACATCACAGAGAACTTTCTCAGAATGCTTCTATCTACTTTTTATGTGAAGATATTTCCTTCTCCACCACAGGCCTCAAAGTGCTGACAAATGTCCACTTGCAGATTCTACAAAAAGAGAGTTTCCAATCTGCTCAACCAAAAGAAAGGTTTAACTCTGTGAGATTAATGCACGCATCACAAAGAAGTTTCTCAGATTGCTTCTGTCTAGATTTTATGTGAAGATATTTCCTTTTCTACCATTGGCCACAAAGAGTTCCAAATGTCCACTTGCAGATTCTACAAAAAGAGTGTTTCCAAACTACTCAATCAAAAGAAACGTTCAACTCTGTGAGATGAACACACTCGTCACAAAGAAGTTTCTCAGAATTCTTCTGTCTAATTTTTATGTGAAGATATTTCCTGTTCCACCATAGGCCTCAAGACGCTCTAAATGTCCACTTGCAGATTCTACAAAAAGAGAGTTTCAAAACTGCTCAATCAAAAGAAACGGTTATCTCTGTGAGATGAATGCATATATCACAAACAAGTTTCTCATATTGCTTCTGTCTAGATTTTATGTGAAGATATTTACTTTTCTACCATAGACCACAAAGTGCTCCAAATGTCCACTTGCAGACTCTACAAGAAAGAGTGGTACCAAACTGCTCAACCAAAAGAACGGTTCCACTCTGTGAGAAGAACGCACACATCAAAAAGAAGTTTGTCAGAATTATTCTTTCTAGTTTTTATGTGAGGATATTTCCTTTTCCACCATAGGCCTCAAAGCGTTCCAAATGTCCACTTGCAGATTCTACAAAAAGAGAGTTTCAAAACTGCTGAATCAAAAGAAAGTTTAAACTCTGTGAGATGAATGCACCCATCACTAAGAAGTTTCTCCGATTGCTTCTCTCTAGATTTTATGTGAAGGTATTACTTTTTCTACCATAGGTCGCAAAGTGCTTCAAATGTCCATTTGCAGATTCTACAAAAAAGAGTGTTTCCAAACTGCTCAATCAAAAGAAAGGTTCAAGTCTGTGAGATGAAAGCACACATTACCAAGAAGTTTGTCAGAATTCTTCTGTCTAGTTTTTATGTGAAGATATTACCTTTTCCACCACAGTCCTCAAAGCGCTCCAAATGTCCACTTGCAGATTCTACGAAAAGAGAGTTTCAAAACCGTTCAATCAAAAGAAAGGTTTACTCTGTGAGATGAATGCACACACCACAAAGAGGTTTGTCAGATTGCTTTTATCTAGATTTTATGTGAAGATATTTTCTTTTCTACCATAGACCACAAAGCGCTCCAAATGTCCAGTTGCAAATTCCACAAAAAGAGTTTTTCCAAACTGCTTAATCATAAGAAAGGTTCAACTCTGTGAGATAAACGCATGCATCTCAAAGAAGCTTCTCCAAATTCTTCTGTGTAGTTTTGATGTGAAAATATTTCCTTTTCCTCCACAGGCCTCAAAGCGCTCCAAATGTTAACTTGCAGATTCTACAAAAAGAGAGATTCAAAACTGCTCAATCAAAACAAAGGCTTAACTCTGTGAGATCAGTGCACACATCACAAAGAAGTTTCTAAAAATGCTTCTGTCTAGTTTCTATGTGAAGATATTTCCTTTTCCACCATAAGCCTCAAAGCACTCCAAATGTCCACTTCCACATTCAACAAAAAGAGAGTTTCAAAACTGCTCAATCAGAAGTAAGAGTTAACCCTGTGAGATGAATGCACACATCCCAAGGAAGTTTCTCACATTGCTTTTGTCTAGATTTTATGTGAGGATATTTCCTTTTCTAACATAGGCTGCAAAGTGCTTCAAATGCCTACTTACAGAATCTACAAAAAGAGTGCTTCCATAATTCTTAATCAAAAGAAAGGTTCAACTCTGTGAGATGAATGCACACATCACAAAGAAGTTTCTCAGAATTCTTCTCTCTAGTTTTTAGGTGAAGATATTTCCTTTTCCACCATAGGCCTCAAAGCACTCCAAATGTTCACTTGCAGATTCTACAAAAAAAGAGTTTCAAAACTGCTCAATCAAAAGATTGCTTTAACTCTGTGAGATGAACGCACACATCACAAAGAGGTTTCTCACATTGGTTCTGTCTAGATTTTATGTGAAGATATTTCCTTTTATAACATAGGCAACAAAGCACTCTAATAGTCCACTTGCAGATTCTACAAAAAGAGTGTCTGCAAACTGCTCAATCAAAAGGAAGTTTTAACTCTGTGAGAAGAACGCACACATCACAAAGAAGTTTCTCAGAATTCTTCTGTCTAGTTTTTATGTGAAGATATTTCCTTTCCCACTGTAGGCCTCAAAGCACTCAAAATGTCCACTTGCAGATTCTACAAAAAGAGAACTTCAAAACTACTCAACCAAAAGAAAGGTTTAACTCTCTGAGATGAATGCACACATCACAAAGAAGTTTCTGAGATTTCTTCTGTCTAGATTTTATGTGAAGATATTTCCTTTTCTACCATAGGCAACAAAGCACTCCAATAGTCCACTTGCAGATTCTACAAAAAGAATGTTTCTAAACTGCCCAATCAAAAGGAAGGTTCAACTTTGTGAGATAAACGCATACATCACAAAGGAGATTCTCAGAATTCTTCTGTCAAGTTTTTATGTGAAGATATTTCCTTTTCCACCATAGGCCTCAAAACGATCCAAATGTCCACTTGCAAATTCTACAAGAACAGTGTTTCAAAACTGCTCAGTCAAAAGAAAGTTTGAACTCTGTGAGATGAATGCACACATGCCAAAGGAGTTTCTCAGATTCCTTCTGTCTAGATTTTTTTTGAAGATATTACCTTTTCTACCATAGTCCACATAGTGCTACAAATGTCCACTTGCAGAATCTCCAAAAAGAGTGTTTCCAAACTGCTGAATCAAAAGAAAGTTTCAACTATTTGAGTTGAAGTCACACATCACAAAGAAGATTCTGAGAATACTTCTGTCTAGTTTTTATGTGAAGATATTTCCTTTTCCATTATAGGCCCAAAAGCGCTACAAATGTCCACTAGCGGATTCTACAAAAAGAATGTTTCAGAACTTCTCAATCAAAAGAAAGGTTTAACTCTGTGAGTTGAATGTACACATCACAAAGAAGTTTCTGAAAATGCTGCTGTCTAGATTTTATGTGAAGATATTCCCGTTTCCAAGGAGGGCCTCAAGGGGTACCTAATATCCACTTGCAGATTCTACTAAAGGAGTGTTTCAAAACGAATCTATGATAAGGTATGTTCCACTCTGTGAGTTGAAGGCAAACATCAAAAAGAAGTTTCTGAGAATGCTTCTCTCTAGTTTAGATGGGAAGATATTTCCTTTTCCACTATAGGCCTCAAAGTGTTCCAAGTGTCCACTTGCAGATTCTACAAAAAGAGTGTTTCAAAACTGCTCTATCAAAAGAAAGTTTCAACTCTGTGAAGTGAATGCACACATTACAAACAAGTTTCTGAGAATGCTTCTGTCTAGTTTTTATGTGAAGATATTCCCGTTTCCAATGAAGGCCTCAAAGCAGTCCAAATATCCACTAGCATATTCTACAAAAAGAGTGTTTCAAAGCTTCCCCATGAAAATGAATATTCAACTCTGTGAGTAGAATGTAGATATTACAAAGAAGTTTCTGAGAATGCTTCTGTCTAGTTTCTATGTGAAGATATTTCCTTTTCCACCATAAGCCTCAAAGCGCTCTAAATGTCCACTTCCACATTCAACAAAAAGAGAGTTTCAAAACTGCTGTATCAAAAGAAAGGTTCAACTCGGTGAGTTGCATGCAAACATCACAAAGAAGTTTCTGAGAATGCTTCTGTCTAGATTTTATGTGAAGATATTTCCTTTTCTAAGTTAGGCTGCAAAGCGCTTCAAATGTCCACTTACAGAATCTACAAAAAGAGTTTTTCCATAATTCTCAATCAAAAGAAAGGTTCAACTCTGTGAGATGAACGCACACATCACAAAGAAGTTTCTCAGAATTCTTCTCCCTAGTTTTTATGTGAAGATATTTCCTTTTCCACCATAGGCCTCAAAGCACTCCAAATGTCCACTTGCAGATTCTACAAAAAAGAGGATCAAAACTGCTCGATCAAAAGAAAGGTTAAACTCTGTGAGGTGAATACATACATCACAAAGAGGTTTCTCACATTGGTTCTGTCTAGATTTTATGTGAAGATATTTCCTTTATAACATAAGTCGCAAAGGGCTCCTAATGCCCACTTGTAGATTCTACAAAAAGAGTGTCTGTAAACTGCTCAATCAAAAGGAAGTTTCAACTCTGTGAGAAGAACGCACACATCACAAAGAAGTTTCTCAGAATTCTTCTGTCTAGTTTTTATGTGAAGATATTTCCTTTTCCACCACAGGCCTCAAAGCGCTCCAAATGTCCATTTGCACATTCTACAAAAAGAGTGTTTCAAACAGCTCTTTGAAAAGAAAGTTTCAACTCTGTGAGTTGAATGCACTCATCACAAAGAAGATTATGAGAATGCTTCTGTTGAATGTTTATGTGAAGATATTCCCATTTCCAACGAAGGTCTCAAAGCAGTACAAATATCCACTTGCAGATTCTACTAAAAGAGTGTTTCAAAACTGCTCTATGATAAAGTATGTCCAATTCTGTGAGTTGAATGCAAACATCACAAATAATTTCTGAGAATTATTCTGTTTAGTTTTTATGTGAAGACATTTCCTTTTCAACCATAGGCCTCAAAGCGCTTCAAATGTCCACTTGTAGATTCTGCAAAAAGAGTGTTTCAAAACTGCTCTATCAAAAGAAAGTTTCATCTCTGTGAGTTGAATGCACACATCATACAGAAGTTTCTGAGAATGCTGCTGTCTAGTTTTTATGTGAAGATATTCCCGTTTGCAATGAAGGCCTCAAAGCGTTCCAAATATTCACTTGCAGATTCTACTAAAAGAGTGTTTCAAAACTGCTCTATAAGATATCTCCAACTCTGTGAGTTGAAGGCAAACATCACAAAGAAGTTTCTGAATGCTTCTCTCTAGTTTTTATGGGAAGATATTTCTTTTTCCACCATAGGCCTCAAAGTGCTCCAAATGTCCAATGCAGATGCTACAGAAAGAGTGCCTCAAACCTGCTCTATCAAAAGAAAGCTTCAACTCTGTCAGTTGAATGCACACATCAGAAAGAAGATTCTGAGAATGCTTCTGACTAGTTTTTATGTGAAGATATTTCCTTTTCCACCATAGGCCCCAAAGCGTTCCAAATGTCCACTTGCAGATTCTGCAAAAAGAGTGTTTCAAACCTGCTCTATCAAAAGAAAGGTTCAACTCTGTGAGTTGAATGCACACATCACAAACAAGTTACTGAGAATGCTTCTGTCTAGTTTTTATGTAGTGATATTCCTGTTTCCAACGAAGGCCTCAAAGCAGTCCAAATATACACAAGCAGATTCTACAAAAAAAGTGTTTCAAAATTCCTCCATGAAAAGGTATGTTCAACTGTGTGAGTTGAATGCAAACATCACAAAGAAGTTTCTGATATTGCTTATGTCTAGTTTTTATGTGAAGATACCTCATTTTCCACATAGGCCTCAAAGCTCTCCAAATGTCCACTTTCAAATTCTCCAAAAAGAGTGTTTCAAACCTGCTCTATCAAAAGAAAGGTTCAACTCTGTGAGTTGAATGCACATATCACAAAGAAGTTTCTGAGAATGCTTCTGTCTAGGTTTCATGTGAAGGTATTTCTTTTTCCACCATAAGCCTCAAAGTTCAGAAATGTCCACTTGCAGATTCTACAAAAAGAGTGTTTCAAAACTGCCCTATCAAAAGAAATGTTCAACTCTGTGAGTTGAATGCACACATCAAAAAGAAGTTTCTGAGAATGTTTCTGTCTAGTTTTTATATGAAGATATTCCCGTTTCCAATGAATGCTTCAAAACAGTCCAAATATCCACTAGCGGATTCTACAAAAAGAGTGTTTCAAAACTGCTCTATGATAAATTATGTTCAACTCTGTGAGTAGTTGAATGCAAACATCACAAAGAAGTTTCTGAGAATGCTTCTGTCCAGTGTTTATGTGAAGATATACCCAATTCCAACAAAGGCCTCAAAGCTCTCCAAATTTCCACTTGCAGGATCTACAAAAAGAGCGTTTCAAAACTGCTCTATGAAGTGGTATGTTCAACTCTGTGAGTTGAATGCAAACATCACAAAGAAATTTCTGAGAATACTTCTGTCTAGTTTTTATGGGAAGATATTTCCTTTTCCACCATAGGCCACAAAGCGCTCCAAATGTCCACCTGCAGATTCTACAAAAAGAGTGTTTCAAACCTGCTCTATCAAAAGAAAGGTTCAACTCTGTGAGTTAAAGGCACACATCACAAAGAAGTTTGTGAGAATGCTTCTGTCTAGTGTTTATGTGAAGATATTGCCGTTTCAAACGAAGGTCTCAAAGCAGTACAAATATCCACTTGCAGATACTACAAAAAGAGTGTTTCATAATTGATCCATCAAAAGAAATTTTCACCTCTGTTAGTTGAATGTACACATCACAAAAAGTTTCTCAGAATGCTGCTGTTTAGTTTTTATGTGAAGATATTCCCATTTCCAGCGAAGGCCTCAATGCGGTCCAAATATCCACTTGCAGATTCTTCTAAAAGAGTGTTTCAAAACTGCTCTATCAAAAGAAAGGTTCAACTCGGTGAGCTGAATGTACACATCACAAACAAGTTTCTGAGAATGATGCTGTCTAGTTTTTATTTGAAGATATCCCAGTTTCCAACGAAGGCCTCAAGGCATTCCAAATATCCACTTGCAGATTCTACTAAAAGAATGTTTCAAAACAGCTCTATGATAAGATATGTTCAACTCTGTGAGTTGAATGCAAGCAACCCAAAGAAGTTTCTGAGAAAGTTTCTAGCTAATTTTTATGGGAAGATATTTCCTTTTCCACCATAGGTCTCAAAACACTTTAAATGTCCAGTTACAGATTGTACAAAAAGTGTGTTTCAAACCTGCTCTATAAAAAGTAAGGTTCAACTCTGTGATTTTAATGCACACAGCACAAAGAAGTTTCAGAGAACCCTTGTCTAGTGATTATGTGAAGATATTCCCGTTTCCATCGAATGCCTCAAAGTGGTCCAAATATCCCCTTCAGATTCTACTAAAGGAGTGTATCAAAAGTGATCTATGGAAAGGAAGTTTCTACTCTGTGAATTGAATGCAAATATCAAAAAGAAGTTTCTGAGAGTGCTTCTGTCTAGTTTTTAAGTGAAGATATTTCCTTTTCCACCATAGGCCACAAAGCTCTCCAAGTGTCCACTTGGAGATTCTACAAAATGAAAGTTTCAAACCTGCTCTATCAAAAGAAAGGTTCAGCTCTGTGAGTTGAATACACACATCACAAAGTTTCTGAGAATACCTCTGTCTAGTACTTATGTGAAGATATTCCCGTTTCCAACGAAGGCCTCAAAGCGGTCCAAATATCCACTTGCAGATTCTACAAAGAATGTTTCAAAAGGCTCTATGAAATGGTATGTTCAACTCTGTGAGTGGAATGCGAACATCACAAAGAAAATTCTGAGAATTCTTCTGTCTCATTTTTATATAAAGATATTTCCTTTTCTACAATAGGCCTCAAAGCTCTCCAAATGTCCACTTGCAGATTCTACAAAAAGAGTGTTTCAATCCTGCTCTATCAAAAGAAAGGTTCATCTCTGTGAGTGGAATGCACACATCACAAAGAAGTTTCTGAGAATACTTCTGTCTAGTGTTTATGTGAATATCTTCCGGCTTCCAACGAAGGCTTTAAAGCGGTCCAAATATCCTCCTGCCGATACTAAAAAAAGAGTGTTTCAAACCTGCCCTATCAAAAGAAAGGTTCAACTCTGTGCATTGAATGTACACATCACAAAGAAGTTTCTGAGAATGCTCCTGTCTAGTTTTTATGTGAAGATATTCTCGTTTCCAACGAAGGCCTGAAAGCATTACAAATATCCACTTGCAGATTTTACTAAAGAGTGTTTCAAAACTGCTCTATGATAAAGTATTTTCAACTCTGTGAGTTGAAGGCAAACATTGCAAATGAGTTTCTGAGAATGCTTCAGTCTAGTTTTTATGGGAAGATATTTCCTTTTCCACCGTAGGCCTGAAAGCGCTCAAAATGTCCACTTGCAGATTCTGCAAAAAGAGTGTTTCAAACCTGCTCTATCAAAAGAAAGCTTCAAGTCTGTGAGTTGAATGTACACATCACAAGGAAGTTTCTGATAATGCTTCTGTCTAGTGTTTACGTGAAGATATAACCGATTCCAACGAAGGCCTCAAAGCTCTCCAAATTTCCACTTGCAGTTTCTGCAAAAAGAGTGTTTCAAAACTGCTCTATGAAATGGTATGTTCAACACTGTGAGTTGAATACAAACATCACAAAGAAGTTTCTGAGAATCCTTCTGTCTAGTTTCTATGGGAAGATATTTCCTTTTCCACCTTAGGCCTCTAAAGCGCTCCAAATGTCCATTTGCAGATTCTATAAAAAGAGTCCTTCAAATCTGCTCTCTCAAAAGAAAGTTTCAGCTCTGTGAGTTGAAGGGACACATCACAAACAAGTTTGTGAGGATGCTTCTCTCTAGTGTTTATGTGAATATATTTCCGTTTCAAATGAAGGCCTCAAAGCAGTAAAAATATCCACTTGCAAATTCTCCAAAAGACTGTTTCAAAACTGCTCTATCAAAAGAAAGGTTCAACTCTGTGAGTTGAATGTACATATCGCAAAGAAGTTAATGAGAATGCTGCTGTCTAGTTTTTATGTAAAGATATTCCCGTTTCCAACGAAGGCCTCAAAGCGGTCCAAATATCCACTTACAGTTTCTACAAAAAGAGTGTTTCAAAACTGCTTTATCATAAGGTATGTTCAACTCTGTGAGTTGAATGCAAACATTGCAAAGAAGTTTCTGAGAATACTTCTGTCTAGTTTTTATGTGAACATATTTCCTTTTCCACCATAGGCTCCAAAGTGCTCCAAAGGTTCACTTACGGATTCTACAAAAACAGTGTTTCAAACCTGCTCTGTCAAAAGAAAGGTTCAACACTGTGAGTTGAATGCACACAACACAAAGAAGTTTCTGAGAATGCTTCTGTCTAATTTTTATATAAGGATATTCCCATTTCCAACGAAGGCCAATAAACGGTCAAAATAGCCACTTGTAGATTCTACTAAAAGAGTGTACCAAAACTTCTCTATGATAAAGTATGTCCAACTCTGTGAGTTGAATGCAAACATCACAAAGAAGTTTCTGAGAACGCCTCTGTCTAGTTTTTATGTGAAGATATTTCCTTTTCCACCATAGGCCTCAAGGCTCTCCAAATGTCCCCTTGCAGATTCTGCAAAAAGAGTGTTTCAAAACTCCTGTAACAAAAGAGAGGTTCAACTCTGTGAGTTGAATGCACACATCACAAAGAAGTTTCTGAGAACAATTCTGTCTAGTGTTTATGTGACGATATTCCAGTTTCCAATGAAGTCCTCAAAGCGCTTCAAATATCCACTTGCAGATTCTACAAAAAGAGTGTTTCAAAACTGCTCTACCAAAAAATAGTTTCAACTCTGTCAGTTGAATGCAAACATCACAAAGAAGCTTCTGAGAATGCTTCTGTCTACTTTTTATGCGAAGATATTTCCTTTCCCACGTTAGGCCTCAAAGCTCTCCAAATTTCCACTTGAAGATTCTACAAAATGATGGTTTCAAAACTGCTCTATGATAAGGTATGCTCAACTCTGTCAGTTGAAGGCAAACATCACAAAGATGTTTCTGAGAATTATTCTCTCTAGTTTTCATGGGAAGACATTTCCTTTTCCAGCACAGGCCTCAAAGTGCTCCAAATGTCCATTTGCAGATTCTACAAAAAGTGTTTGAAACCTGCTCTATCAAAAGAAAGGTTCATCTCTGAGTTGAATGCACACATCACAAAGAAGTTTCTGAGAATGCTTCTGTCTAGTGTTTATGTGAGATATTCCTGTTTCCAATGAAGGACTTAAAGTGGTCCAAATATCCTCTTGCAGATTCTATGAAAAGACTGTTTAATGTCTGCTTTATCAAAAGAAAGGTTCAACTCTGTGAGTTGAATGCACAAATCACAAAGAAGTTTCTGAGAATGCTTCTGTCTAGTTTTTATGTGAAGATATTTCGTTTTCCACCATAGGCCACAAAGCTCTCCAAAAGTCCATGGACAGATTCTACAAAAAGAGTGTTTCAAAGCTGCCCTATCAAAAGAAAGGTTCAACTCTGTGAGTTGAATGTTCACATCACAAAGAAGTTTCTGAGAATGCTGCTGTCTAATTTTTATGTGAAGATACTCCTGTTTCTGATGAAGGCCTCAAAAAGTTCCAAATATTCACTTCCAGATTCAACTAAAAGATTGTTTCAAAACTGCTCTATCATAAGGTATGTTCAACACTGTGAGTTGAAGGCAAACGTCACAAAGAAGTTTCTGAGAATGCTTCTGTCTAGTTTTTATTGGAAGATATTTCCTTTTCCACTGTAGGGCTTAAATCGCTCCAAATGTCCACTTGCAGATTATACAAAAAGAGTGTTTCAAACCTGCTCTATCTAAAGAAAGCTTGAAATCTGTGAGTTGAATGCACACAGCACAAAGAAGTTTCTGAGAAAGCTTCTGTCTAGTGATTATGTGAAGATATTCCCGTTTCCAATGAAGGCTGGTAAGCAGTCCAAATATCCGCTTGCAGATTCTGCGAAAAGAGTGTTTCAAAACTGCTCTATGATACAGTATGTCCAAATCTGTGGGTTGAAAGCAAACATCACAAAGAAGTTTCTGAGAATGCTTCTGTCTAGTTTTTATGTGAAGATATTTCCTTTTCCACCATAGGCCTCAAGGCGCTCCAAATGTCCACTTGCAGATTCTGCAAAAAGAGTGTTTCAACCTGCTCTATCAAAAGAAAGGTTAAACTCTGTGAGTTGAATGCACACAGCACAAAGAAGTTTCTAAGAATGCTTCTGTCTAGTGTTTATGTGAAGATATTCCCGTTTCCAACGAAGGCCTCAAAGCGGTCCAAATATCCATTTGCAGATTCTACAAAAAGAGCGTTTAAAACCAGCTCTATCAAAAGAAAGGCTCAACTCTGTTAGTTGAATGTACGCATCACAAAGAAGTTTCTGAGAATGCTGCTGTCTAATTTTTATGTGAAGATATTCCCGTTTCCAATGAAGGCCTGAAAGCATTCAAAATATCCACTTCCAGATTCTACTAAAAGAGTGCTTCAAAACTGCTCTATGATAAGGTATGTTCAACTCTGTGAGTTGAAGGCAAACATCACAAAGAAGTTTCTGAGAATGCTTCTGTCTAGTTTTTATGTGAAGATATTTCCTTTTCCACCATAGGCCTCAAGGCGCTCCAAATGTCCACTTGCAGATTCTGCAAAAAGAGTGTTTCAAACCTGCTCTATCAAAAGAAATGTTCAACTCTGTGAGTTGAATGCACACATCACAGAGAAGTTTCTGAGAATTTTTCTGTCTGGCTTTTATATAAAGATATTACCTTTTCCACCTTAGGCCTCAAAGCTCTCAAAATATCCGCTGGCAGATTCTACAAAAAGAGAGTTTGAAAGCTGCTCTATGATAAGGTATGTTCAACTCTGTGAGTTGAATGCTCACCTCATAAAGAAGTTTCTGGGAATGCTTCTGTCTAGTGTTTATGTGAAGATATTCCTGTTTCCAAAGAAGGCCTCAAAGCGGACCAAATATCCAATTGCAAATTCTACAAAAAGAGTGTTTCAAAGCTGCTCTATCAAAAGAAAGGCCCAACTCTGTGAGTTGAATGCACACATCACAAAAAAGTTTCTGAGAATGCTTCTGTCTAGAGTTTATGTGAAGATATACCCGTTTCCAACGAAGACCTCAAACTGGTCCAAATATCCACATAGAGATTCTACAAAAAGAGGGTTTCTAAACTGCTCTATCAAAGGAAAGGTTCAACTCTGTGAGTTGAATGCACACATCACAAAAAAGTTTCTGAGAATGCCTCTGTCTAGAGTTTATGTGAAGATATACCCGTTTCCAACGAAGACCTCAAACTGGTCGAAATACCCACATGCAGATTCTACAAACAGGGGGTTCTTAAACTTCTCTATAAGAAGAAAGGTTCAACTCTGTGACATGAATGTACACATCACAAAGTAGTTTCTGAGAAAGCTTCTATCTAGTGATTATCTGAAGACATTCCCATTTCCAACGAATGCCTCAAAGCGGTCCAAATATCCACTTGCAGATTCTACTAAAAGAGTGTGTCAAAACTGCCCTATGATAAAGTATCTTCAACTCTGTGAGTTGAATGCAAACATCACAAAGATGTTTCTCAGAATGATTCTGTCTATATTTTATGTGAGGATATTTCCTTTTCGGCCATAGGTCTCAAAGCTCTCCAAATGTCCACTTGCAGATTCTACAAAAACAGTGTTTCAAGACTGCTCTATCAAAAGAAAGGTTCAATTCTGTGAGTTGAATGCACACAGCACAAAGAAGTTTCTGAGAAAACTTCTCTCTAGAGATTATGTGAAGATATTCCCATTTCCAAAGAAAGCCTCAAAGCGGTCCAAATATCCACTCGCAGATTCTACTAAAAGAGTGTTTCAAAACTGCTCTATGATAAAGTGTGTCCAACTCTGTGAGTGGAATGCTAACATCACAAAGAAGTTTCTGAGAATGCTTCTGTCTAGTTTTTATGTGAAGATATTTTCTTTTCCACCATAGGCCTCAAAGCGCTTCAAATGTCCACTTGCAGTTTCGGCAAAAAGAGTGTTTCAAACCTGCCCTATCAAAAGAAAGGTTCAACTCTGTGAGTTAAATTCGCACGTCACAAAGAAGTTTCTGACAATGCTTCTGTCTAGTGATTATGTGAAGGTATCCTATTTCCAAAGAATGCCTCGAAGCAGTTCAAATATGCAGTTGCAGATTCTACAAGAAGAGTGTTTCAAAACTGCTCTATCAAAAGAAAGGTTCAACTCTGTGAGTTGAATGTATACATCACAAAGAAGTTTCTGAGAATGCTTCTCTCTAGTTTTTATGTGAAGATGTACCCGTTTCCAATGAAGGCCTCAAGGCTTTCCATATATCCACTTGCAGATTCTACTAAAAGAGTGTTTCAAAACTGCTCTATGATGAGGTATGTTCAACTCTGTGCGTTGAAGGCAAACATCACAAAGAAGTTTCTGAGAATGCTTATTTCTATTTTTTATGGGAAGATATTTATTTTTCCACCATAGGCCTCAAAGCGCTTCAATTGTCCACTTGCAGATTCTGCAAAAAGAGTGTTTCAAACCTGCCCTATCAAAAGAAAGGTTCAACTGTGTGAGTTGAATTCGCACATCACAAAGAAGTTTCTCAGAATTCTTCTGTCTAGTTTTTATCTGAAGACATTTCCTTTTCCACCATAGACCTCAAACCACTCCAAATGTACACTTGCAGATTCTACAAAAAGAGAGTTTCAAAACTGCTCAATCAAAAGAAATGTTTAACTCTGTGAGATGAATGGACACATCATAAAGTACTTTATCAGACTGCTTTTATCTAGATTTTCTGTGAAGATATTTCCTTTTCTACGAGAGGTCACAAAGTGTTCCAATTGTCCACTTGCATATTCCACAAAAAGAGTGCTTCCAAACTGCTCAGTCAAAATAAAGGTTCAACTCTTTGAGATGTAAGCACAAATCACAAAGAAGTTTCTCAGAATTTTTCTGTTTAGTTTTTATGTGAAAATATTTACTTTTCCACCATAGGCCTCAAAGCGCTCCAAATGTCCACTTGCAGATTTTACAAAAAGAGAGTTTCAAGACAGCTCAATCAAAAGAAAGTTTTAACTCTGTGAGATGAATGCACACATCAAAAAGAAGTTTCTCAGATTCATTCTATCTAGATTTTATGGGAATATATTTCCTTTTCTAACATAGGCTGCAAATCACTCCAAATGTCCATTTGCAGATTCCACAAAAAGAGTGTTTCCAAACTGCTTAATCAAAAGAAAGGTTCAACTCTGTGAGATAAACATCACAAAGCATCACAAAGAAGTTTCTCCGAATTCTTCTGTGTAGTTTTGATGTGAAAATATTTCCTTTTCCTCCACAGGCCTCAAAGCGCTCCAAATGTTAACTTGCAGATTCTACAAAAAGAGAGATTCAAAACTGCTCAATCAAAACAAAGGCTTAACTCTTTGAGATCAGTGCACACATCACAAAGAAGTTTCTAAAAAAGCTTCTGTCGAGTTTTTATGTGAAGATATTTTGTTTTCCACCGTAGGCCTCAAAGCGCTCCAAATGTCCACTTCCACATTCAACAAAAAGAGAGTTTCAAAACTGCTCAATCAAAAGTAAGAGTTAACCCTGTGAGATGAATGCACTCATCCCAAAGAAGTTTCTCAGATTGCTTCTGTCTAGATTTTATGTGAAACTGTTTCCTTTTCTAACATAGGCTGCAAAGCGCTCCAAATGCTCACTTAGAGAATCTACAAAGAGTGTTTCAAATATTCTCAATCAAAAGAAATGTTCAACTCTGTCAGATGAATGCACACATCACAAAGAAGTTTCTCAGAGTTCTTCTGTCTAGTTTTTATGTGAAGATATTTCCTTTTCCACCATAGGCCTCAAAGCACTCCAAATGTCCACTTGCAGATTCTACAAAAAGAGAGTTTCAATACTGCTCTATCAAAAGGAATGTTTAACTCTGTGAGAAGAATGCACACGTCACAAAGAGATTTCTCAGATTGCTTCTTTCTAGATTTAATGTGAAGATATTTCCTTTTCTATCATAGTCGGCAAAGCGCTCCAAATGTCCACTTGCACATTCTACAAAAAGAGTGATTCCAAACTGCTCAATCAAAAGGAAGGTTCAACTCTGTGAGATGAATGCACACATCACAAAGAAGTTTCTCAGATTGCTTCTGTCTAGGTTTTATGTGAAGATATTTCCTTTTCTACCTTAGGCCCCAAAGCGCTCCAAGTGTCCACTTGTAGATTTTACAAAAAGAGTGTTTCCAAACTGCTCAATCAAAAGGAAGTTTCAACTCTGTGAGATGAACACACACATCACAAAGAAGTTTCTCAGAATTCTTCTGTCTAGTTTTTATGGGAAGATATTTCCTTTTCCACCATAGGCCTAAAAGCACTCCAAATGCCCACTTGCAGATTCTACAAAAAGAGAGTTTCAAAACTGCTCAATCAAACAAAAGTTTTAAACCTGTGAGATGAAAGCACACATCACAAAGAAGTTTCTCAGATTGCTTTTGTCTAGATTTTATGTGAAGATGTTTCTTTTACTACCATAGGCCTCAAAGCGCTCCAAATGTCCACTTGCAGATTCTACAAAATAGAGTTTCAAGACAGCTCAATCAAAAGAAAAGTTTAACTCTGTGAAATGAATGCACACATCACAAAGTAGTTTCTCAGATTGCTTCTGTCTGAACTTTATGTGAAGATATTTCCTTTTCTACCATAGGCCACAAAGTGCTCAAAATGTCCACTTGCAGATTCTACAAAAAGAGTGTTTCCAAACAGCTCAATCAAAAGAAAGGTTCCACTCTGTGAGATGAACGCACACATCACAAAGAAGTTTCACAGTATTCTTCAATCTGGTTTTTATGTGAAGATATTTTCTTTTCCACATTGTCCTCAAACCGCTCCAAATGTACTCTTCCAGATTCTACAAAAACAGAGTTTAAAAATGCTCCATCAAAAGCAGTGTTTAAGTCTCTGAGATGAATGCACATATCACAAAGAATTTTCTCATATTGCTTCTGTCTAGATTTTATGTGCAGGTATTTCCTTTTCTAACACTGGCCGCAAAGCGCTCCAAATCTCCACTTGCAGATTCTGCAAACGGAGTGCTTCCAAAATGCTCAATCAAAATGAAGGTTCAACTCAGTGAGATGAACACACACATCACAAAGAAGTTTCTCAGAATTCTTCTGTCTAGTATTTATGTGAAATTATTTCCTTTTCCACCATAGGCCTCAAAGCGCTCCAAATGTCCACTTGCAGATTCTACAAAAAGAGAGTTTCAAAACTGCTCAACCAAACTAAAGTTTTAACTCTGTGAAATGAATGCACAAATCACAAAGTAGTTTCTCAGATTGGCTCTGTCTGAATTTTATGTGAAGATATTTCCTTTTCTATCATAGGCCACAAAGTGCTCCAAATGTCCACTTGCAGATTCTACAAAAAGAGTCTTTCCAAACAGCTCAATCAAAAGAAAGTTTCAACTCTGTGAGATGAACGCACACATCACAAAGAAGTTTGTCAGAATTCTTCTCTCTAGTTTTTATGTGAAGATAAATTCCTTTTCCACCGTAGGCTTCAAAGTGCTCCAAATGACCATTTGCAGATTCTACAAAAAGAGGGTTTCAACACTGCTCAATCAAAAGAAAGGCTCAATTCTGCGAGATGAACGCACATATCACAAAGAACTTTCTCAGAATTCTTCTGTTTTGTTTTTATGTGAAGATATTTCCTTTTAAACCATAGGCCTCAAGGTACTCGAAATGTCCACTTGAAGATTCTACAGAGTATTTCAAAACTGGTCCTTCGAAAGAAAGATTCAACTCTGGGTGATGAATGCGCACATCACAAAATCTTTCTCAGAACACTTCAATATAGTTTTTATGTGAAGATATTTCATTTTCCACCATAGGCCTCAAAGCGCTCCAAATGTCCACTTGCAGATTCTACAAAAAGACAGTTTCAAAACTGCTCAATCAAAAGAAATGTTTATCTCTGTGAGATGAATGCACACATCACAAAGTTGTTTCTCAGATTACTTCTGTCTAGATTTTATGTGAACATATTTCCTAGTCTACCATAGGCCGCAAAGTGCTCCAAATGTCCACTTGCAGATTCTGTAAAAAGAGGGTTTCCAAACTGCTCAATCAAAAGAAAGTTTCAACTCTGTGAGATGAACGTGCCCATCACAAAGTTTTTCAGAATTCTTCTGTCTACTTTTTATGGGAAGATATTTCCTTTTTCACCGTAAGCCTCAAAGCACTCGAAATGTCCACTTACAGAGTCTACGAAAAGAGAGGTTCAAAACTGCTCAATCAAAAGAATGGCTTAACTCTGTGAGATGAATGCACATATCACAAAGAAGTTTCTCAGATTGCTTCTGTCTAGATATTATTTGAAGATAATTCCTTTTCTACCACAGGCCACAAAGCGCTCCAAATGTCCACTTGCAGATTCTAAAAAAGAGTGTTTCCAAAATACTCAATCAACAGAAAGGTTCAAATCTGTGACATGAATGCACACATCACAAAGAAGTTTCTCAGAAATCTTCTGTCTATTTTTATGTGGAGATATTTCCTTTTCCACCAGGGGCCACAAAGTGCACCAAATGTCCAAATTCAGATTCTACAAATAGAGTCTTTCAAAACTGCTCAATCAAAAGAAAGGTTCAACTCTGTGAGATGAATCCACACATCTCAGTGAAGTTTTTCAGAATGTTTCTGTATAGTTCTAGTGTGACGATATTTCTTTTTCCACCATTGCCTTAAAGCGCCAAACATGTCCACTTGCAGATGCTACAGAAAGAGTGTTTCAAAGCTGCTCTTGTCTGATTGCTTCTGTCTAGATTTTATGTGAACATATTTCTTTTTCTACTGTAGGCCACTAAGTGCTCCAATTGTGCACCTGAAGATTCTTCAAAAAGTCTGTTTCCAAACTGCTCAATCAAAAGAAAAGTTCAACTCTGTAACATGAAGGCACACATCTCAAAGAAGTTTCTCTGAATTCTTCTGTCTAGTTTTTATGTGAAAATATTACATTTTCCACCATTGCCTCAAAGCACCAAAAATGTCCACTTGCAGATACTACAGAAAGAGTGTTTCAAAGTGGCTCAATCAAAAGAAAGTTTCAACCCTATGAGATGAATGCACACATCACATAGAAGTTTCTCAGAATGCTTCTGTCTAGTTATTATGTGAAGATATTTCGTTTTCCACCATAGGCATCAAAGCGCTCCAAATGTCCACTTACAGATTCTACAAAAAAGAGTGTTTCAAAACTGCTCAATCGAAATTAAGGTTCCACTCTGCGAGATGAATACACACATCACAAAAACTTTGTCAGATTGCTTCTGTCTAGTTTTGTGTGAAGATATTTCCTTTTCCACCACAGGACTCAAAGCTCTCCAAATGTCCACTTGCAGATTCTACAAAAAGAGTGTTTCAAAACTGCTCTAACGAAAGTTAAGTTCAACTCCATGAGATAAATGGCAACTCCGTGAGATAAATGACAAATAAACTTGTCAGAATGCTTCTGCCTAGTTTTAATGTGAAGATATTTCCTTTTCCACCATAGGCCTCAAAGCGCTCCAAATGTCCACTTGCAGATTCTACAAAATGAGAGTTCTCAAAACTGCTCAATTAAAATAAAGTTTCAGCTCTGTGAGAGGAATGCGCACATCACTAAGCAGTTTCACAGAATGCTTCCATCTAGTTCTTAAATGAAGATATTTCCTTTTCCACCATAGGCCAAAAAGCGCTCCAAATGTCCATTTGCAGATATTACAAAAAGAGTTTTTCAAAACTGCTCAATGTCTGTTCATGTACTTCCGCCACTTTCTGATGAGGTTGTTTGTTTTTTTCTTGTAAATTTGTTTGAGTTCATTGTAGATTCTGGATATTAGCCCTTTGTCAGATGAGTAGTTTGTGAAACTTTTCTCCCATTTTGTAGGTTGCCTGTTCACTCTGATGATTGTTTCTTTTGCTGTGCAGAAGCTCTTTAGTTTAATTAGATCTCATTTGTCAATGTTGGCTTTTGTTGCCATTGCTTTTGGTGTTTTACACATGAAGTCCTTGCCAATGCCTATGTTCTGAATGGTAATGACTAGGTTTTCTTCTAGGGTTTTTATGGTTTTAGGTTGAACGTTTAAGTCTTTAATCCATCTTGAATTAATTTTTGTGTAAGGTGTAAGGAAGGGATCCAGTTTCAGCTTTCTACATATGGCTAGCCAGTTTTCCCAGCACCATTTATTAAATAGGGAATCCTTTCCCCATTGCTTGTTTTTCTCAGGTTTGTCAAAGATCAGATAGTTAAAGATATGTGGCATTATTTCTGAGGGCTCTGTTCTGTTCCATTGATCTATATCTCTGTTTTGGTACTAGTACCATGCTGTTTTGGTTACTGTAGCCTTGTAGTATAGTTTGAAGTCAGGTAGTGTGATGCCTCCAGCATTGTTCTTTTGGCTCAGGATTGACTTGGCTATGCGGGCTCTTTTTTGGTTCCATATGAACTTTAAAGTAGTTTTTTCCAATTCTGGGAAGAAAGTCATTAGTAGCTTGATGGGGATGGCATTGAATGTGTAAATTACCTTGGGCAGTATGGTCATTTTCACAATGTTGATTCTTCCTACCCATGAGCATGGAAAGTTCTTCCATTTGTTTGTATCCTCTTTTATTTCCTTGAGCAGTGGTTTGTAGTTCTCCTTGAAGAGGTCCTTCACATCCCTTGTAAGTTGGATTCCTAGGTATTTTATTTTCTTTGAAGCAATTGTGAATGGGAGTTCACTCATGATTTGGCTCTCTGTTTGTCTGTTGTTGGTGTATAAGAATGCTTGTGATGTTTATACATTGATTTTTGAGGACATGAACAGACATTTCTCAAAAGAAGTCATTTATGCAGCCAAAAAACACATGAAAAAATGCTCACCATCACTGGCCATCAGAGAAATGCAAATCAAAACCACAATGAGATACCATCTTACAGCAGTTAGAGTGGCAATCATTAAAAAGTCAGGAAACAACAGGTGCTGGAGACGATGTGGAGAAATAGGAACACTTTTACACTGTTGGTGGGACTGTAAACTAGTTCAACCACTGTGGAAGTCAGTGTGGCAATTCCTCAGGGATCTAGAACTAAAAATACCATTTGACCCAGCCATCCCATTACTGGGTATTTACCCAGAGGGCTATAAATCATGCTGCTATAAAGACACATGTACACGTATGTTTATTGCAGCATTATTCACAATAGCAAAGACTTGGAACCAACCCAAATGTCCAACAATGATAGACTGGATTAAGAAAATGTGGCACATATACACCATGGAATACTATGCAGCCATAAAAAATGATGAGTTCATGTCCTTTGTAGGGACGTGGATGAAATTGGAAATCATCATTCTCAGCAAACTATCACAAGAACAAAAAACCAAACACCGCATATTCTCACTCATACTTGGGAATTGAACAATGAGAACACATGGACACAGGAAGGGGAACATCACACTCTGGGGACTGTTGTGGGGTGGGAGGAGAGAGGAGGGATAGCATTGGGAGATATTCCTAATGCTAGATGACGAGTTAGTGGGTGCAGTGCACCAGCATGGCACATGTATACATATGTAACTAACCTGCACATTGTGCGCATGTACCCTAAAACTTAAAGTATAACAATAATAAATAAATAAATAAATAAATAAATAAATAAAAACTGCTCAATGAAATAAAGGTTCAACTCTGTGACATGAATGCACACATCAGAAAGAAATTTCTCAGAATATTTCTGAATCGTTTTTATGTGAAGATATTTCCTTTTCCACTATTGGCCTCAAAGTGCCCCAAATCTCCACATGCAGATTCTAAAAAAAGAGTGTTTCAAAGCTGCTCAATCAAAAGAAAGTTTCAACACTCTGAGATGAATGCACACGTCACAAAGAAGTTTCTCAGAATGCTTCTGTCTACTTTTTATGTGAAGATATTTCCTTTTCCACCATTGGCCTCAAAGCACTCCAAATGTCCTCTTGCATATTCTACAAAAAGAGTGTTTCAAAGCTGCTGAATCAAAAGAAATGTTCAACACTGTGAGATGAATGCACCCATCACAAAAAAAGTTTCTCAGAATGCTTCTGTCTAGTTTTTATTTGAAGATATTTCCTTTTACACCATAGGCCTCAAAACGCTCCAAATGTAAACATCCAGATCGTACAAAAATAGTTTTTCCAAACTGCTCCATCAAAATAACACTTTAACTCTGTGAGATGAATGCACACATCACAAAGAATTTTCTCTGAATGATTCTGTCTAGTTTTTACGGGAATATATTTCCTTTTCCACCATAGGACTCTAAGCGCTCCAAATGTCCAATACTAGATGCTACAAAAAGAGGGTTTCAAAGCTGCTGGATCAAAAGAAAGGTTCAAATCTGTGAGATGAATGCATGCACACATCACAAAGAGTTTCTCAAAATGCTTCTCTCTAGTTTTTATATCAAGATATTTCCTTTTCCTCCATAGGACTCTAAGCACTCCAAATGTCCAATTCTAGACTCTACAAAAAGAGTGTTTCAAAACTGCTCAATCGAAAGTAAGTTTCAACCCTGTGAGATGAATGCAGACATCATAAAGAGGTTTTTCAGAATGTTTCTGTCTAGTTTTTATGTGAAGATATTTCCTTTTCCACCATAGGCCTCAAAGCACTCCAAATGTCTGCTTGTGGATTCTACGAAAAGAGTGTTTCAAAACTGCTCAATCAAAAGAAAGGTTCATCTCTGTGAGACGAATGCACACATCACAAAGAAGTTTCACAGAATGCTTCTGTCTAGTTTTTATGTGAAGATATTTCCTTTTCCACTGTAGGACACAAAGAGCTCAAAATGTTCACTTGCAGAGTCTAAAAAGGAGTTTTTCAAAGCTGCTCAATCAAAAGTATGGTTCAACTCTGTAAGATAAATGCACACAACACAAAGAAGTTTCTCAGAATGCTTCCGCCTAGTTGTTAAGTGAAGATATTTCCTTCTCCACCTTATGCCTCAAAGTGCACCAAATGTCCACTTGCGGATTCCACAAAAAGAGTGTTTCAAAACTGCTCAGTCAAAAGAAAGGTTCAACTCTGTGAGTTGAATGCACACATCACAAAGAAGCTTGTGAGAATGTTTCTGTATAGTTTTTATGTGAAGATAATTCCTTTTCCACCATAGGCCTCAAATCACTCCAAATGTCCACTTGCAGATCCTACAAAAAGAGTGTTTCAAAGGTGCTCAATCTAAGGAGAGGTTCAACTCTGTGTGATGAATGCACACATCACAAAGAAGTTTCTCAGAATGTTTTTGTCTAGTTATAATGAGAAGATATTTCTTTTTCCACCATAGGCCTCAAAGACCTCCAAATGTCCACTTGCTGCTCCTATAAAAAGAGGGTTTCAAAACTGCTCAATTGAAAGTTATGTTCAACTCTGTGAGATGAATGCATACATCATGAAGAAGTTTCTCAGAATTCTTCTGTCTAGTTTTTATGTGAAGATATTTCGTTTTCCACCACAGGCTGCAAAGCGCTCCAAATGTTCAATTGTAGATTCTACAAAACGATTGTTTCAAAACTGTTCAATCAAAAGAAAGTCACAACTCTGTGAGATGAATTCACACATCACAAAGGAGTTTGTCAGAATGCTTCTGTCTAGTTTTTATGTGAGGACATTTCCTTTTCCACCATATGCTGCAAAGAGCTCCAAATGTCCACTTGCAGAGTCTATAAAAAGAGTTTTTCAAAGCTGCTCAAAAAAAAAAGAAAGGTTCAACTCTGTGAAATGAATGCACCCATCACAAAGAAGTTTCTCAGAATTATTCTGTCTAGTACTTAAGTGAAGATAGTTTGTTTTCCCCCATAGGCCTCAAAGCGTTCCAATTGTCCACTAGCAGATTCTACAAAAAGAGAGTTTCCAAGTTGCTCAATCAAAAGAAAGATTCAACTCTGTCAGACGAATGGACACATCACAAAGAAGTTTCTCAGAATGTTTCTGAACAGTTTTTATGTGAAGAAATTTCCATTTCCACCATAGTCCGCAAAGCGCTCCAAATGTCCACTTGGAGATTCTACAAAAAGAGTGTGTCAAAACTGCTCAATCAAAAGAAAGTTTCAACTCTGTGAGATGAATGCACATATCACAAAGAACTTTCTCAGAATGCTTCTGTCTAATTATAATATGAAAATATTTTGTTTTCTGCCTTAGGCCTCAAAGCTCTCCAAATGTTAACTTGCAGACCCTTTTCCACCATAGGCCTCAAAGCGCTTCAAATATCCACTTGCAGATTCCGCAAAAAGAATATTTGAAAGCAGCTAAATCAAAAGAAATGTTCAACACTGTGAGAAGAATGCACACATCACAAAGGAGCTTCTCAAAATGCCTCTGCCTAGTTTTTATGTGAAGATATTTCCTTTTCCACCATAGGCTGCCAAGCATTAAAAATATCCACTTGCAGATTCTACAAAAAGAGTGTTTCCAAACTGCTCAATCGAAAGTATGTTTGAACTCTGTGAGATGAATGCACACATCACAAAGATGTTTCAGAGAATGCTCCTGTGTAGTTTTTATGTGAAGATATTTCCTTTTCCACCATAGGCCCCAAAGAGCTCCAAATGTCCACTTGCAGATTCTACAAAAAGAGTGTTTCAAAACTGCTCAACCAAAAGTAAACTTCAACTCTGTGAGATGAATGCACACATCAAAAAGAAGTTTCTCACAATGCTTCTGTCTAGTTGTTATGTGAAGATATTTCTTTTTCCACCACTGGCCTCAGAGCGCTCCAAATATCCTCTTGCAGATTCTACAAAAAGAGTGTTTAAAAATTGCTCAATCAAAGGTAAGGTTCAACTCTGTGAGATGAATGCACATATCACACAGAAGTTTCTCAGAATGCTTCGGTCTACCTTTTATGTGAAAATATTTCCTTTTCCACCAGAAGACTCAAAGCGCTCAAAACAACCACTGGCCGATTATACATAAAGAGTGTTTCAAAACTGCTCAATCAAAAGAAAGGTTCAACTCTGTAAGATGAATGCACACACCCCAAAGAAGTTTCTCAGAATGCTTCTGTCTAGTTTTTATGTGAAGGTATTTCCTTTTCCACCGTAGGCCTCAAAGCGCTTCAAATATCCACTTGCAGATTCTGCAAAAAGAATATTTGAAAGCAGCTAAATCAAAAGAAATGTTCAGCACTGTGAGATGAATGCACACATCACAAAGGAGCTTCTCAAAATGCCTCTGTCTAGTTTTTATGTGAAGATATTTCCTTTTCCACCATAGGCTGCCAAGCGTTAATAATATCCACTTGCAGGTTCCACAAAAAGAGTGTTTCAAAACTTCTCAATCAAAAGAAAGGTTCAACTCTGTGAGATGAATGTACACATCACAAAGAAGTTTCTCAGAATGCTTCGGTGTAGTTTTTAGGTGAAGATATTTCCCTTTCCACCATAGGCCCCAAAGCGCTCCAAATATCCACTTGCAGATACTACAAAAAGTGTTTTTCAAAACTGCTGAATCCAAAGAAATGTTCAACTTTGTGAGATGAATGCACACATCAGAAAGAACTTACTCAGACTTCTTCTGTGTTGTTTTTAGGTGAAGATATTTCCGTTTCCACCATAGGACTTAAAGCCCTCAAAATATCCACTTGTTCATTCCACAAAAAGTGTGCTTCAAATCTGCTCAATCAAAAGAAAGTTTCAATTCTGTGAGATGAATGCACACATCACAAAGTAGTTTATCAGAATGCTTCTGTCCAGTTTTTATGTGAAGATATTTCCTTCTCCACCATAGACCTTAAGGCGCTCCAAATATCCACTTGCAGATTTTACAAAAAGAGTGTTTCAAACTGCTCAAAAGAAAATTCAACTCTGTGTGTTGAATGCGCAAATCACAAAGAAGTTTCTCGGAATGCTTCTGTGTAGTTTTTATGTGAAGATATTTCCTTCTCCACTGTAGACCTTAAAGCACTCCAATTATCCACTTGCAGATCGTACAAAAAGAGGTTTCAAACTGCTCAATCAAAAGAAAGGTTCAACTCTGTGAGCTGAATGCACAAATCACAAAGAAATTTCTCAGAATGCTCCCGTCCAGTTTTTACGTGAAGATGTTTCCTTTTACCACCATTGGCCACAAAGCGCTCAAAATATCCACTTGCAGATTCTACAAAAATAGTGTTTCAAAACTGCTCAATCAAAAGAAAGGTTCAGCTCTGAGACATGAATGCACACATCACAAAGGAGTTTCTCAGAAGGCTTCTGTCTAGTTTTTATGTGAAGATATTTCCGTTTCCACTATAGGCCGCAAAGCGCTCCAAATATCCACTTGCAGATTCTACAAAAAGATATTTTCCAAACTCCTCAATCAAAAGAAAGTTTAAACTCTGTGAGTCGAATGCACACATCACAAAGAAGTTTCTCAGAATACTTCTGTCTAGTTTTTAATTGAAGATACTTCCTTTTCCACCATTGTGCTCAAAGCACTCCAAGTATCCACTTTCAGATTCTACAAAAAGAGTGTTTCAAAACTGCTCAATCAAAACAAAGTTTCAATTCTGTGAGATGAATGCACACATCACAAAGAAGTTTCTCAGAATGCTTCTGTCTAGTATTTATGTGAAGATATTTCCTTTTCTACAATAGTCCTCAAACCACTCCAAATATCCACTTGCAAATACTACAAAAAGATTGTTTCAAAACTGCTCAATCAAAAGAAATCTTCAACTGTGTGAGTTGAATGCACACATCACAAAGAACTTTCTCAGAATGCTTCTGTGTAGTTTTTATTTGAAGATATTTCCTTTTCCACCACAAGCCCCAAACTGATCCAAATATCCACATGCAGATCCTTCAAAAGAAGTGTTTCAAAACTGTTCAATCAAAAGAAAGGTTCAATTCTGTGAGATGAATGCACACATCACAAAGAAGTTTCTCATAAGGCATTTGTGTAGTTTTTATGTGAAGATGTTTCCTTTTCCTCCATAGGCCTCAAATCGCTCCAAATGTCCACTTGCAGATTCTACAAAAGAGTGTTTCAAAGCTGCTCAATCAAAAGAAATGTTCAGCTCTGTGAGATGAAGGCACACATCACAAAGAAGTTTCTCAGGATGCTTCTGTCTAGTTTTTAAGGGAAGATATTTCCCTTTCCTCTAGAGGTCCAAAAGCCCTCCAACTTTGCAGATACTAGAAAAAGAGTGTTTCAAAACTGCTCAATCAAAAGAATATTTCAACTCTGTGAGTTGAATGCACACATCACAAAGAAGTTTCTCAGAATGCTTCTGTCTAGTTTTTATGTGAAGATATTTCCTTTTCCACCATAGGTCCCAAAGCACTCAAAATATCCACTTGCAGGTTCTACAAAAAGAGTGTTTCAAAACTTCTCTATCAAGAGAAACATTCAACTGTGTGAGATGAATGCACAGATCACAGAGGAGTTTCTCAGAATGCTTCTATCTGGTTTTGATGTGAAGATATTTACTTTTCCACCATAGGCTGTAAAGCCCTCCAAATATCCACTTGCAGACACTACAAAAAGAGTATTTCAAAAGTGCTAAATCAAAAGAAAAGTTCAACTCTGTGAGGTGAATGCACACATCACAAAGAAGTTTCTCAGAATGCTTCTTTCTTGTCTTTATGTGAAGATATTTCCTTTTCCATTCAGAACCTCGTAGCAGTGTTCTGTAATCCTGTGTGAGGGACAAACACTCAGAATCCAGCCACTGTGTACTGGAATCCTATCTGAGGGCACACATTTAAAATCCAGATGTAGTCTCCTTGCTTTAGTGAATACACTTATCTCCTTTTCCTGCTATACATTTAGGCAAATTATTTTTCTGTATCTTAAATAAATGGTAAATACCTGAAATTTCTTACTTTTTCCAGGCAGAGTGTCTTCACTATTTAGCTGTAGAAGTATAACTATTTTTGCCTGTGTCACAATTTTGTACTCAGGAACCCTGGCCATGTCACTAGCCAAACGGACATAACTTATGGAATACATGGACAACATCCGGTTGATATGCTCTAGAGAAAAATAGCAGCTACCATAGACTTCAGGAAAGACACATCGAGCAAATGACAAAAATGTGGGTTTCCTACCTTCAGGGAGTCTAAGAACGCAGTAGAAAGTGATGTGGAGCAAACATCTTTCAAATGGAAGGAAGGGATAGGGAAAGAAGACTGTTACAGGCTCTTTTGAATGTTAGAGGCAACATAAAACATATTTGGATGTGTATTCTAAATAAAATGCAAATGTCAAGAAGGATGTCAGCTGTGAGTGGGACTCAGAGAAAGAGAAACGTTTTGGACTTCAGAGGCCTGCAGTACAAGTGGATCTACTATTTTGTTTAGGGAATCCAATGCCTCAGGTATCTATGAGAGGCAGAATTTTCCTATGGAGCCAGCGGCAAGGCTCCAGAGGAGAAATACAATACAAGTCACTTTATTTTGGAGTAAAAGCCTTTTGTACAAAAATTACCCGCCCCCTCCTTTTTTGAGAAACAATTTCACATTGGGATACTAATAAGAAGGAATGCTCAGTCATGAATAAGGGTGACCCCGTTGTGATCTGAGCATTATAGGATCATACTAACTACAACCAGTCTTCCATCATTCCATGGAAATTGCATGTATGCCACTTTGCCTTCTCAGTTTCCAAGGGATCAATTAATGAACAGGCTACTCACATTTTCAGCATCCTACTCCTGACACACTTCCACCCTTCTTTCTATTTATCTGTGATTCATAGAGATTTGCCTATGACTGGATTCCTGAGGAGAAAAAAGTCTGGATTACAGATGGCATTCCTTGTTATGGAAGGCCCTTCCTTCTGAAAGTCTATTTCTATCCTGTTCTTTTCCTGTGCTGTCAAAGGGTCACCCCTTTGTGCAAAGGAGAAGAGAAATCCATCAAGTAAATAAAATTTCACTTACCTTTGTAAAAAATATTTCTACCAATTCACGTGGAGGACCTTATGGTTTGGTCCGATAATCAGAGATTTGAAAGAACCTGATATTGTTGGCCAGCAGATTAGAAAAGAGTTATTAGAGAGAGATGGCTCAAGTGATAATAACTGTGTGCCTTGTGAATGCTCACCTAAACCAAAGATCACTGAAGATAATGTATTTTACCATAATGTTTTAATCTCAGGTAAATGCCAACCAGGAGACAGACACTTGTTTATCTCCTGATTGGTATTGATCTGAATTAAGCTGTCTGCCATTTGGAGAAATTTAAATGCTATTTTAAACACACAGTCTTGTTACTTGAGTTGTTTATGATCTTAAGCTGCTCCCCTCCTTTTGTGGGTTAGATTGTGTCTTCAAAAAGAAAAAATATATATTAGAGTTCTAGCCCCTGATGTCTGTGAGTATGACTTAATTTGAAATCAAATTATTTGCAGATGCTGTATAATTATGATATGCTAGATGAGCTCATAATGCATTAGAGTGGGCCATAATTCAATATGGTTGATATCCTCATAAGAAGGGAAGAGGAAACAGAGACACAGGGAGGAGATGGCCATGTGAGGATGGAGGTAGAGAACAAAGTGAGGTATCCTCCAGCCAAGCAATGACAATGAAGCTCAGTGATCACCCGGTGCTAGTAGAAGCAAGAAAGGATTTTTTCCCAGGTCCTTCAGAGAAAAATGCAGCACTGCTAACTCCTTCATTTAAGATTTCTAGCTTCCTGAACCATAAAAGAATAACTTTATCTCATTTTAAGCGACCTAATGTGAACCACTTTGTCACAGCAGATGTAGGAAATCACACGTCCTTAAAGAATGCAGAATCCTGGCCCGTGCTTGCCTCATACCTATTGAATGAGAATTTAAGGGCTCTAGAATCTGCATTTTGAAACTAATACATAATACACAAAGAGAACTCACTAAGTACTCTACATGCACTTCATCCTCACAAGCCATGAAGTAGTTTACTATTATAATTCTCATTTTACATATGGGAAACTGGAGCATTAAAAGATTAAGTAATTTGCCTACAGTCACTCACATAACCAGAAAGTGGAAGAGCTGGGATTCAATCCCAGTTCCAGACATCCTGATATCCTGGGTTCAGACACCACACACTTAGCAACTATTACACACTTAGCATTATTATTATTATTCTTTTAATCACCAACTCCACCTTCTTAAGCACTCAAAAGTTGAAATCCAGTGGTGTGTTGCTGTTTCCATTCATAGCAAGTTATAGCCACAATCATAAACTACACTTCCTCCAAAACAGTATACTGACTTCTCATCTCTTTTTAAAATCCCTTCCATCCTTCTTTTCTTTCTTCTCTTCTCTTTTCTTTTCTCTTTTCTTTCTCTTGCTCTGCCACCCAGGCTGGAGTGCAGTGGCATCTTCTCGGCTCACTGCGACCTCCACCTCCTGGGTTCAAGCGATTCTCCTGTCTCAGCCTCCCAAGTAGCTAGGATTACAGGCGCCCAACACCACACCCGTTTAATTTTTGTATTTTTAGTAGAGATGGGGTTTCACATCTTGGCCAGGCTGGTCTTAAACTGCTGACGTCGTGATCCATCCACCTCGGCCTCCCAAAGTGCTGGGATTACAGGCATGAGCCACTGTGCCCAGCCTCTTTCACCCATTGAAATCTCATTTCAACAATTACCATCTTTTTTGAGTGGTATTTTTGAAGATATAAATGAATTCCCTATAATACATAGTGAGAATATTTATGGGAGCTTCCTAATTGACCTTTCTAAACATTCTGCATTGCTTCTCATTTCCTTCTTTAAATTTCCTTCTACCTTGACTTCCTTAAGACCACTCAATATTGGCCCCATGCTTTCATTTTTTTCTTTTTTCTTTTATTTTTTCTTTCTTTTTTTTCTTTTTTCTTTTTTTTTGAGACGAAGTTTCCCTCTTTTCACCCAGGCTGTAGTGCAACAGTGTGATCTCAGCTCACTGCAACCTCCGCCTCCCAGGTTCAAGAGACTCTCCTGCCTCAGCCTCCTGAGTAGCTGCGATTACAAGCATGTGCCACCATGCCCAGCTAATTTTGTATTTTTAGTAGAGATGGGGTTTCTTCATGTTGGTCAGGCTGGTCTCAAACTCCCAAACTCAGGTGATCCGCCCGCCTCGGCCTCCCAAAGTGCTGGGATTACAGGCATGAGCCACAATGCCCAGCCCATGCTTTCTTTTTAATAACTCCTTGCTGCCTAGTTTTTTCATGTCCACTGTGTAAGTACTAGTCTTTTTTTTTTTTTTTTTATTATACTCTAAGTTTTAGGGTACATGTGCACATTGTGCAGGTTAGTTACATATGTATACATGTGCCATGCTGGTGCGCTGCACCCACTAATGTGTCATCTAGCATTAGGTATATCTCCCAATGCTATCCCTCCCCCCTCCCCCGACCCCACCACAGTCCCCAGAGTGTGATATTCCCCTTCCTGTGTCCATGTGATCTCATTGTTCAATTCCCACCTATGAGTGAGAATATGTGGTGTTTGGTTTTTTGTTCTTGCGATAGTTTGCTGAGAATGATGATTTCCAATTTCATCCATGTCCCTACAAAGGATATGAACTCATCATTTTTTATGATGCATAGTATTATGATGCATAGTATTCCATGGTGTATATGTGCCACATTTTCTTAATCCAGTCTATCATTGTTGGACATTTGGGTTGGTTCCAAGTCTTTGCTATTGTGAATAGTGCCGCAATAAACATACGTGTGCATGTGTCTTTATAGCAGCATGATTTATAGTCCTTTGGGTATATACCCAGTAATGGGATGGCTGGGTCAAATGGTATTTCTAGTTCTAGATCCCTGAGGAATCGCCACACTGACTTCCACAATGGTTGAACTAGTTTACAGTCCCACCAACAGTGTAAAAGTGTTCCTATTTCTCCACATCCTCTCCAGCACCTGTTGTTTCCTGACTTTTTAATGATTGCCATTCTAACTGGTGTGAGATGATATCTCATAGTGGTTTTGATTTGCATTTCTCTGATGGCCAGTGATGATGAGCATTTCTTCATGTGTTTTTTGGCTGCATAAATGTCTTCTTTTGAGAAGTGTCTGTTCATGTCCTTCGCCCACTTTTTGATGGGGTTGTTTGTTTTTTTCTTGTAAATTTGTTTGAGTTCATTGTAGATTCTGGATATTAGCCCTTTGTCAGATGAGTAGGTTGCGAAAATTTTCTCCCATGTTGTAGGTTGCCTGTTCACTCTGATGGTAGTTTCTTTTGCTGTGCAGAAGCTCTTTAGTTTAATTAGATCCCATTTGTCAATGTTGGCTTTCGTTGCCATTGCTTTTGGGGTTTTGGACATGAAGTCCTTGCCCACGCCTATGTCCTGAATGGTAATGCCTAGGTTTTCTTCTAGGGTTTTTATGGTTTTAGGTCTAACGTTTAAATCTTTAATCCATCTTGAATTGATTTTTGTATAAGGTGTAAGGAAGGGATCCAGTTTCAGCTTTCTACATATGGCTAGCCAGTTTTCCCAGCACCATTTATTAAATAGGGAATCCTTTCCCCATTGCTTGTTTTTCTCAGGTTTGTCAAAGATCAGATAGTTGTAGATATGCGGCATTATTTCTGAGGGCTCTGTTCTGTTCCATTGATCTATATCTCTGTTTTGGTACCAGTACCATGCTGTTTTGGTTACTGTAGCCTTGTAGTATAGTTTGAAGTCAGGTAGTGTGATGCCTCCAGCTTTGTTCTTTTGGCTTAGGATTGACTTGGCGATGCGGGCTCTTTTTTGGTTCCATATGAACTTTAAAGTAGTTTTTTCCAATTCTGTGAAGAAAGTCATTAGTAGCTTGATGGGGATGGCATTGAATCTGTAAATTACCTTGGGCAGTATGGCCATTTTCACGATATTGATTCTTCCTACCCATGAGCATGGAATGTTCTTCCATTTGTTTGTGTCCTCTTTTATTTCCTTGAGCAGTGGTTTGTAGTTCTCCTTGAAGAGGTCCTTCACATCCCTTGTAAGTTGGATTCCTAGGTATTTTATTCTCTTTGAAGCAATTGTGAATGGGAGTTCACCCATGATTTGGCTCTCTGTTTGTCTGTTGTTGGTGTATAAGAATGCTTGTGGTTTTTGTACATTGATTTTGTATCCTGAGACTTTGCTGAAGTTGCTTATCAGCTTAAGGAGATTTTGGGCTGAGACGATGGGGTTTTCTAGATAAACAATCATGTCGTCTGCAAACAGGAACAATTTGACTTCCTCTTTTCCTAATTGAATACCCTTTATTTCCTTCTCCTGCCTGATTGCCCTGGCCAGAACTTCCAACACTATGTTGAATAGGAGCGGTGAGAGAGGGCATCCCTGTCTTGTGCCAGTTTTCAAAGGGAATGCTTCCAGTTTTTGCCCATTCAATATGATATTGGCTGTGGGTTTGTCATAGATAGCTCTTATTATTTTGAAATACGTCCCATCAATACCTAATTTATTGAGAGTTTTTAGCATGAAGGGTTGTTCAATTTTGTCAAAGGCTTTTTCTGCATCTATTGAGATAATCATGTGGTTTTTGTTTTTGGCTCTGTTTATATGCTGGATTACATTTATTGATTTGCGTATATTGAACCAACCTTGCATCCCAGGGATGAAGCCCACTTGATCATGGTGGATAAGCTTTTTGATGTGCTGCTGGATTCAGTTTGCCAGTATTTTATTGAGGATTTTTGCATCAATGTTCATCAAGGATATTGGTCTAAAATTCTCTTTTTTGGTTGTGTCTCTGCCCGGCTTTGGTATCAGAATGATGCTGGCCTCATAAAATGAGTTAGGGAGGATTCCCTCTTTTTCTATTGATTGGAATAGTTTCAGAAGGAATGGTACCAGTTCCTCCTTGTACCTCTGGTAGAATTCGGCTGTGAATCCATCTGGTCCTGGACTCTTTTTGGTTGGTAAACTATTGATTATTGCCACAATTTCAGAGCCTGTTATTGGTCTATTCAGAGATTCAACTTCTTCCTGGTTTAGTCTTGGGAGAGTGTATGTGTCGAGGAATGTATCCATTTCTTATAGATTTTCTAGTTTATTTGCGTAGAGGTGTTTGTAGTATTCTCTGATGGTAGTTTGTATTTCTGTGGGATCGGTGGTGATATCCCCTTTATCATTTTTTATTGTGTCTATTTGATTCTTCTCTCTTTTTTTCTTTATTAGTCTTGCTAGCGGTCTATCAATTTTGTTGATCCTTTCAAAAAACCAGCTCCTGGATTCATTGATTTTTTGAAGGGTTTTTTGTGTCTCTATTTCCTTCAGTTCTGCTCTGATTTTAGTTATTTCTTGCCTTCTGCTAGCTTTTGAATGTGTTTGCTCTTGCTTTTCTAGTTCTTTTAATTGTGATGTTAGGGTGTCAATTTTGGATCTTTCCTGCTTTCTCTTGTAGGCATTTAGTGCTATAAATTTCCCTCTACACACTGCTTTGAATGTGTCCCAGAGATTCTGGTATGTGGTGTCTTTTTTCTCGTTGGTTTCAAAGAACATCTTTATTTCTGCCTTCATTTCGTTATGTACCCAGTAGTCATTCAGGAGCAGGTTGTTCAGTTTCCATGTAGTTGAGCGGCTTTGAGTGAGATTCTTAATCCTGAGTTCTAGTTTGATTGCACTGTGGTCTGAGAGACTGTTTGTTATAATTTCTGTTCTTTTACATTTGCTGAGGAGAGCTTTACTTCCAACTATGTGGTCAATTTTGGAATAGGTGTGGTGTGGTGCTGAAAAAAATGTATATTCTGTTGATTTGGGGTGGAGAGTTCTGTAGATGTCTATTAGGTCTGCTTGGTGCAGAGCTGAGTTCAATTCCTGGGTATCCTTGTTGACTTTCTGTCTCGTTGATCTGTCTAATGTTGACAGTGGGGTGTTAAAGTCTCCCATTATTAATGTGTGGGAGTCTAAGTCTCTTTGTAGGTCACTGAGGACTTGCTTTATGAATCTGGGTGCTCCTGTATTGGGTGCATAAATATTTAGGATAGTTAGCTCCTCTTGTTGAATTGATCCCTTTACCATTATATAATGGCCTTCTTTGTCTCTTTTGATCTTTGTTGGTTTAAAGTCTGTTTTATCAGAGACTAGGATTGCAACCCCTGCCTTTTTTTGTTTTCCATTGGCTTGGTAGATCTTCCTCCATCCTTTTATTTTGAGCCTATGTGTGTCTCTGCACGTGAGATGGGTTTCCTGAATACAGCACACTGATGGGTCTTGACTCTTTATCCAACTTGCCAGTCTGTGTCTTTTAATTGCAGAATTTAGTCCACTTATATTTAAAGTTAATATTGTTATGTGTGAATTTGATCCTGTCATTATGATGTTAGCTGGTGATTTTGTTCATTAGTTGATGCAGTTTCTTCCTAGTCTCGATGGTCTTTACATTTTGGCATGATTTTGCAGGGGCTGGTACCGGTTGTTCCTTTCCATGTTTAGCGCTTCCTTCAGGAGCTCTTTTAGGGCAGGGCTGGTGGTGACAAAATCTCTCAGCATTTGCTTGTCTATAAAGTATTTTATTTCTCCTTCACTTATGAAGCTTAGTTTGGCTGGATATGAAATTCTGGGTTGAAAATTCTTTTCTTTAAGAATGGTGAATATTGGCCCCCACTCTCTTCTGGCTTGTAGGGTTTCTGCCGAGAGATTCACTGTTAGTCTGATGGGCTTTCCTTTGAGGGTAACCCGACCTTTCTCTCTGGCTGCCCTTAACATTTTTTCCTTCATTTCAACTTTGGTGAATCTGACAATTATGTGTCTTGGAGTTGCTCTTCTCGAGGAGTATCTTTGTGGCGTTCTCTGTATTTCCTGAATCTGAACGTTGGCCTGCCTTGCTAGATTGGGGAAGTTCTCCTGGATAATATCCTGCAGAGTGTTTTCCAACTTGGTTCCATTCTCCACATCACTTTCAGGTACACCAATCAGACGTAGATTTGGTCTTTTCACATAGTCCCATATTTCTTGGAGGCTTTGCTCATTTCTTTTTACTCTTTTTTCTCTAAACTTCCCTTCTCGCTTCATTTCATTCATTTCATCTTCCATTGCTGATACCCTTTCTTCCAGTTGATCGCATCGGCTCCTGAGGCTTCTGCATTCTTCACGTAGTTCTCGAGCCTTGGTTTTCAGCTCCATCAGCTCCTTTAAGCACTTCTCTGTATTGGTTATTCTAGTTATACATTCTTCTAAATTTTTTTCAAAGTTTTCAACTTCTTTGCCTTTGGTTTGAATGTCCTCCCGTAGCTCAGAGTAATTTGATCATCTGAAGCCTTCTTCTCTCAGCTCGTCAAAATCATTCTCCATCCAGCTTTGTTCTGTTGCTGGTGAGGAACTGCGTTCCTTTGGAGGAGGAGAGGCATTCTGCGTTTTAGAGTTTCCAGTTTTTCTGTTCTGTTTTTTCCCCATCTTTGTGGTTTTATCTACTTTTGGTCTTTGATGATGGTGATGTACAGATGGGTTTTCGGTGTAGATGTCCTTTCTGTTTGTTAGTTTTCCTTCTAACAGACAGGACCCTCAGCTGCAGGTCTGTTGGAATACCCTGCCGTGTGAGGTGTCAGTGTGCCCCTGCTGGGGGGTGCCTCCCAGTTAGGCTGCTTGGGGGTCAGGGGTCAGGGACCCACTTGAGGAGGCAGTCTGCCCATTCTCAGATCTCCAGCTGCGTGCTGGGAGAACCACTGCTCTCTTCAAAGCTGTCAGACAGGGACACTTAAGTCTGCAGAGGTTACTGCTGTCTTTTTGTTTGTCTGTGCCCTGCCCCCAGAGGTGGAGCCTACAGAGGCAGGCAGGCCTCCTTGAGCTGTGGTGGGCTCCACCCAGTTGGAGCTTCCTGGCTGCTTTGTTTACCTAAGCAAGCCTGGGCAATGGCGGGCGCCCCTCCCCCAGCCTCGTTGCCGCCTTGCAGTTTGATCTCAGACTGCTGTGCTAGCAATCAGCGAGATTCCGTGGGCGTAGGACCCTCTGAGCCAGGTGTGGGATATAGTCTCGTGGTGCACCATTTCTTAAGCCGGTCTGAAAAGCGCAATATTCGGGTGGGAGTGACCCGATTTTCCAGGTGCGTCCGTCACCCCTTTCTTTGACTCGGAAAGGGAACTCCCTGACCCCTTGCGCTTCCCAGGTTAGGCAATGCCTCGCCCTGCTTCAGCTCGCGCACGGTGCGCACACACACTGGCCTGCGCCCACTGTCTGGCACTCCCTAGTGAGATGAACCCGGTACCTCAGATGGAAATGCAGAA
Organism: Homo sapiens; assembly: GCF_000001405.40. Lineage (NCBI taxonomy): Eukaryota > Metazoa > Chordata > Mammalia > Primates > Hominidae > Homo > Homo sapiens. Next base: position 18,289,786 of record NC_000014.9, read on the forward strand.
ATCACCCGTCTTCTGCGTCGCTCACGCTGGGAGCTGTAGACCGGAGCTGTTCCTATTCGGCCATCTTGGCTCCTCCTCCTCCGTAAGTACTAGTCTTAATGGGTATTTATTTTCTTACTATTCTGCACCAATGTTTCCCTGATTGACAATAGTTTTCCTGAAATGTATTCTTGGAATGGAATTCTATGATATGCTTAGAAAATTCTGCATACCTTATACTTCAGAATGTGTATGTAAAAGACTCCAGTAAATGATCCAGGGAAGCAAAAATATTTGTGAGTTTTGCAAGTTGTATTCATACGTGTATAAAATTCCCACAGCACTTTGGGTAACAATGCTCTGCACACTTTTCCTGTGCTCCTTTTATCCATTCCCACACTTCCAGCATTTCCTTTGACGTTTGATTTTCTTTATTTTTTTTTTACTCCAATATTTTCTTGTAGGTTTCAGACCTATATTTTAAAATGTCAACTGATTCTCCCCCTCTGTCTTCACCACCTGCATCTCAAATTTGACATAGCCATAAACACATTTTATATTTTGGCAAATAAATCTATTTCTTTTAAAGCATTGCCCATCTCAGCTAATGATGATAATATCAAGCCAGTCGCCAAGAAAATTTAGAGTATATATACCTTGTCTCTTCCTTCTAAATGAATTATTAAGTTCAGATGTTTCTACCTTGAATTACCTTTCTATTCCGCCATTTCTCTTCTGTATTGCTGCTAATGTTTTAATTTAGTCATTCATCACATCATGCCTGTACTGCTGGAATAATCTTGACTATTCTTTCTGACTTTTTCTTCTAACTGCATCTCAAAAACTTCTATCTAGAATGAAAATAAGTATATATATATACTATATATACATACATATATACACACACACTATATGTATGTGTATAGTATAAGTATAGACATGCTATATACTATATATATATGCTATATATTTATATACACACACACCCACCATGCTTTTAAAAATTGTTTACTTATGTCCCATCATTGAAGGATAAAATACAAAATCACTGATATTGAGAGACATTCTCCTCAATCATTTAACATTTTCCTTCACAAACCTGTGCTGTAGCCACACCCAGAACAGGTTATGTTCCTTCAAAGACACACACACTTTTCTATTACTCTCCTTTTACTCCTTCTATTCCATCTGCTTAGACCATTTTTTACTTGTTTTCTGTCTATCTTCATTCATTTTTCAGGATCCAATTTAAATATTGATACAAAGGCTGAGATCTTTATATCTTCTCTTATTTAAATTCCTGGAGCACCAGATAACTTCCTCTATTATAATTCTTACTGTATACAACCATAACTCTCATTTGAAAACAATAAATACATAATTATAAAATCAGATATATCATAAAATGATTGGTATCAATATGTGAAAAAAACTTCAATGTTGAAAGTACAAGATTACAAGTCATCTGAAAGTAACTAAACATCAATCAGAGAAAAATGCTCATCATTTTTTGATGAAACCAAAAGTAAGAGAATTTGGTATTAATCTACTACATCATTGGTAAATTACATATTAATTATTGTGAGAAAGAAATAATTGATGGAATTTAAAGAAAATCGGTTTTCCTTTATTTTTATTATTCTACCTTAAAGTATTACATTTAATTAAAATAATGATTTTAAAATTATCCCATCAAGTATGTCATCATACTAAAATCCATTGTATTTAATTTCTCAACTGAGAAATTGTATTCAATTGTATTCAATTTCTCTACTGAACAATTAATATGAAAGCAATCACATAGCATTCAGAAATTAATAAATATTTAAAGAAATTAAACAGCATTAGATTTTCTTGTTGTAAAATTTTTTTCTTCTCTCAGTATGGCTTATGTCTCATTGCTTCTATTGAACATAGCACAATTCAAGTATTAATACAATGCCTTTATAAAAGTTGTGAATCTCAGAAATGAACAAGCTTACCTCCCTAGTTATTTATTAAAAGTTACAAGCCACTTTTTTTAACTTCCTAATAATCTTAGAGGGGTATATTTTGTGTTTTTGTTTGCTATATCTTTTATAAAGAAGATCCCTAATGATTTGAAAGTTAGAACCAATTTTCTGAAGGATTGAGCTACACTCCTTGAACTTGTGTGTTTGTGGGTGGCACACTATGTCTTTTGCAGACCCGGTACCTACCCCTTGGTCTAGAACATATTTTCCTCCACCTGCCTTTTAAGTTTTTATTTCAGCAGGGGTGGGTGGTTTGTGGTTGACTGAAAATAGAACAGGCTACAAAAGCCCTTCCTGTTTGATATTGAATCTGCTATGTGAGTCACCCTTACATTATGGACTGTTAATTAACACATTTGGTAAGAGAATATCCTGATCTGCTTTGCATGTGAGGCTCTCCCAGTAATAAACAAAGAAGCATAATTAAACAAGATTTTAATTTCTCTATGCCCTGTCAGAAATTCAGATACAATTCAAGTCATCTTGGAAATTTTAAGTTGCATTCCCATGTCGTCTCTGTTCTGGCCATTGTGCAATGGGCCTTCAAATGTTGTAGTAGAAGCCAACTGATATTCCATTGTTATTCATTTATACATAGGTATATATAGGGGGTGTGTATGCAAAAATATATATAAATATTCATATATGTGTACATGTGTACATACATACATATGGAGGTAATACAAGTTTGCATTGTTTTTAAAATTTTTTACCCAAATTAACAATGACTCTATTGTATATCTTTATTGGTTATATCACATTTATATAAATAAATTTATATCAGTGAGAATTTTCAAGTAAGTGAAATTTGAATTGGATTCAGGGTTTTATTTTTTTGAAATTTCCGATTAAAATTACTTGATTTTTTAAATTTTATCTTAAAATATTCCAAGTCCCATTTGTAAAAAAAAAAAATAGAGGATAAAAATGAAGTGTGTTATGAGTCACAAATTTTTATTTTACTTTAATAATTGTTAAAATAAAATTTTTTCCATGAGGCATTTTATAATGCCCTCTTTATTTATTTATTTTTTTGGTGATGTACTTTATTATTATTATTATTATTACACTTTAAGTTTTAGGGTACATGTGTACAATGTGCAGGTTAGTTACATATGTATACATGTGCCATGCTGGTGCACTGCACCCACTAACTCGTCATCTAGCATTAGGAATATCTCCCAATGCTATCCCTCCCCCCTCCCCCACCCCACAACAGTCCACAGAGTGTGATGTTCCCCTTCCTGTGTCCATGTGTTCTCATTGTTCAATTCCCACCTATGAGTGAGAATATGCGGTGTTTGGTTTTTTGTTCTTGCGATAGTTTGCTGAGAATGATGATTTCCAATTTCATCCATGTCCCTACAAAGGACATGAACTCATCATTTTTTATGGCTGCATAGTATTCCATGGTGTATATGTGCCACATTTTCTTAATCCAGTCTATCATTGTTGGACATTTGGGTTGGTTCCAAGTCTTTGCTATTGTGAATAATGCCACAATAAACATATGTGTGCATGTGTCTTTATAGCAGCATGATTTATAATCCTTTGGGTATATACCCAGTAATGGGATGGCTGGGTCAAATGGTATTTCTAGTTCTAGATCCCTGAGGAATTGCCACACTGACTTCCACAATGGTTGAACTAGTTTACAGTCCCACCAACAGTGTAAAAGTGTTCCTATTTCTCCACATCGTCTCCAGCACCTGTTGTTTCCTGTCTTTTTAATGATTGTCATTCTAACTGGTGTGAGATGGTATCTCATTGTGGTTTTGATTTGCGTTTCTCTGATGGCCAGCGATGGTGAGCATTGTTTCATGTGTTTTTTGGCTGCATAAATGTCTTCTTTTGAGAAGTGTCTGTTCATATCCTTCGCCCACTTTTTGATGGGGTTGTTTGTTTTTTTCTTGTAAATTTGTTTGAGTTCATTGTAGATTCTGGATATTAGCCCTTTGTCAGATAAGTAGGTTGCAAAAATTTTCTCCCATGTTGTAGGTTGCCTGTTCACTCTGATGGTAGTTTCTTTTGCTGTGCAGAAGCTCTTTAGTTTAATTAGATCCCATTTGTCAATTTTGGCTTTTGTTGCCATTGCTTTTGGTGTTTTAGACCTGAAGTCCTTGCCCATGCCTATGTCCTGAATGGTACTGCCTAGGTTTTCTTCTAGGGTTTTTATGGTTTTAGGTTGAACGTTTAAGTCTTTAATCCATCTTGAATTGATTTTTGTGTAAGGTGTAAGGAAGGGATCCAGTTTCAGCTTTCTACATATGGCTAGCCAGTTTTCCCAGCACCATTTATTAAATAGGGAATCCTTTCCCCATTGCTTGTTTTTCTCAGGTTTGTCAAAGATCAGATAGTTGTGGATATGTGGCGCTATTTCTGAGGGCTCTGTTCTGTTCCATTGATCTATATCTCTGTTTTGGTACCAGTACCATGCTGTTTTGGTTACTGTAGCCTTGTAGTATAGCTTGAAGTCAGGTAGTGTGATGCCTCCAGCATTGTTCTTTTGGCTTAGGATTGACTTGGTGATGCGGGCTCTTTTTTGGTTCCATATGAACTTTAAAGTAGTTTTTTCCAATTCTGTGAAGAAAGTCATTGGTAACTTGATGGGGATGGCATTGAATCTGTAAATTACCTTGGGCAGTATGGCCATTTTCACAATATTGATTCTTCCTACCCATGAGCATGGAATGTTCTTCCATTTGTTTGTATCCTCTTTTATTTCCTTGAGCAGTGGTTTGTAGTTCTCCTTGAAGAGGTCCTTCACATCCCTTGTAAGTTGGGTTCCTAGGTATTTTATTCTCTTTGAAGCAATTGTAAATGGGAGTTCACTCATGATTTGGCTCTCTGTTTGTCTGTTGTTGGTGTTTAAGAATGCTTGTGATTTTTGTACATTGATTTTGTATTCTGAGACTTTGCTGAAGTTGCTTATCAGCTTAAGGAGATTTTGGGCTGAGACAATGGGGTTTTCTAGATATAAAATCATGTCATCTTCAAACAGGGACAATTTGACTTCCTCTTTTCCTAATTGAATACCCTTTATTTCCTTCTGCTGCCTAATTGCCCTGGCCAGAACTTCCAACACTATGTTGAATAGGTGTGGTGAGAGAGGGCATCCCTGTCTTGTGCCAGTTTTCAAAGGGAATGCTTCCAGTTTTTGCCGATTCAGTATGATATTGGCTGTGGGTTTGTCATAGATAGCTCTTATTATTTTGAGATACGTCCCATCAATACCTAATTTATTGAGAGTTTTTAGCATGAAGGGTTGTTGAATTTTGTCAAAGGCCTTTTCTGCATCTATTGAGATAATCATGTGGTTTTTGTCTTTGGTTCTGTTTATATGCTTGATTACATTTATTGATTTGCATATATTGAACCAGCCTTGCATCCCTGGGATGAAGCCAACTTGATCATGGTGGATAAGCTTTTTGATGTGCTGCTGGATTCGTTTTGCTAGTATTTTATTGAGGATTTTTGCATCAATGTTCATCAAGGATACTGGCCTGAAATTCTCTTTTTTGGTTGTGTCTCTACCCGTATATTGCCCTCTTTAAAGCCTCAAAATCTCAAATGCAGAAAGAATGACTTTTAAATATCCTACATATTTAAACCATTTATTTTTTACAGCAATCCCATATATGCAAAACTGCTACTAAAAAACAAGTAACCTAAGCCGAATTAAATAAAAGTATACAAAGAAATAATTAGCCGTCTGTGGTGGTGGATTCCTGTAATCCCAGCTACTCATGAGGCTGAGGCAGGAGATTTGCTTGAACTCAGGAGGTGGAGGTTGAAGTGAGCCGAGATCCCACCACTGCACTCCAGCTTGGACCACAGAGCTAGACTGTGTCAAACAAAAAATAAAAAAAAGAAAAGAAAAGAAAGAAAGAAATTACTTATTTTACACTTGCTCTTCTGTGTTTAGTTTCGAAATTATCATCTTCATGCAAAGTATTTAGCACTGTGCCTGGCAGATAGAAAAAGTTAGCTTTTATTTATTTATTTATTTATTTATTTATTTATTTATTTGAGACAGAGTCTTGCTGTGTCTCCAGGCTGCAGTGCAGTGGTGCAACCTTGGCTCATTGCAACCTCTGCCTCCCGAGTTCAAGCAATTCTCTTGTCAGCCTCCTGAGTAGCTAGGATTACAGGCATGCACCACCACGCCAAGCTAATTTTTTTTTAATTTTATTTTTTAAGTAGAGATGGGGTTTCACCATGTTGGCCAAAATGGTCTATGTCTCTTGACCTTCTGATCTGCCCACCTCGGCCTCCCAAGTTGCTGGGATTACAGGTGTGAGCCACTGCACCCAGCTGCTAGCTATTATTTCTAATCCTTTGCCATGCTCAGATATAATCTTCCCAAATCCAGAAGTAATTTTATAACTTCAGCTAATTGCAGTGATAAATTATTGAAATATTTTCCTAAAGAAAATACACAAATGAAACCTTAAAAATACAAGGACTGGGCTGGGCACAGTGGCTCGCGCCTGTAATTCCAGTACTTTGGGAGGCCGAGCTGTGTGGATCACCTGAGGTCAGGATTTCGAGACAAGCCTAGCCAACATGGCGAACCGTCGTCTCTACTAAAAATACAAAAATTAGTTGTGCATGGTGGTGGGCCCCTGTAATCCCAGCTACTCGGGAGGCTGAGGCAGGAAAATCACTTGAACCTGGAGGTGGAAGTTGAAGTGAGTCTAGATCTCACTGCTGGACTGCAGCCTGGGGCAATAGAGCAAAAACTGTCTAAAAAAAAAAAAAAAAAGACTGGGCGCGGTGGCTCATGCCTGTGATCCCAGCACTTTGGGAGGCCAAGACGGGCAGATCACGAAGTCAGGAGATGGAGACCATCCTGGCTAACACAGTGAAACCCCGTCTCTACTGAAGATGCAAAAAATTAGCGGGGCATGGTGGTGGATGCCTGTAGTCCCAGCTACTCAGGAAGCTGAGGCAGGAGAATGGTGTGAACCCGGGAGGCAGAGCTTGCAGTGAGCTGAGATAGCGCCACTTCACTCCAGCCTGGGCAACAGAGGGAGACTCTGTCTCAAAAAAAGAAGAAAGAAAGAAAGAAAGAAAGAAAGAAAGAAAGAAAGAAAGAAAGATATAGTAAATTATGAAAGAGAAAAAGAGAGAATAAGTATCTTCAACAAGAAAAATGAAAATAATAAAAACTATACAATTGCAAAACAATAACTGTTGTTAAAATATTTTACATGTCATATTGTAAATAAGACACCCTTAGTGTATGCAGAAATGATTACATTAGTATAGGAAACTGCTGTGATTGTAGATATATAAACTAGAGAAATGCAAATCAGAAACAAGTTTGTCAACTAGAAGAGAGAAGAAATTTTTATTTGAGTAAATCTACTGTCTATAATTTAAAAATACACAATGGTATTTCTTTCATTAAATAGCTTTATTTAAATATAAAAATAAAAGCTTATACATAGGCCAGAAGAAATATTGCTGGTTTATAATAAGGTTCATAGGAACTAAAACAGGGTAATTATATAAGACGGTGTGTAAATAATTATGTTATTTTAGTAAAATTATCCAACACTGTACCTTTCAAATAAAAATATACCTTTTTAAAGGTCAACAAAAGTTATTGTGCTTCAAATTTTAACATTTATCCTCCAAGTGAAATTACTAAAAGAAGAAACAACTAACCTATAAATAAATAATCTACTTTTTGGAAAAGTTAACAAACCTCTCTACACACAATATAATTAAGAAAGATAATAAGAAACATATATAATTTCAAGATTTTCAATTTTTTTTTACTAAGCCAGAGAAGATAAATGAGTTAATCATTCATGTCAGTAAGTAAATACAGGATCAAAAAACATACCTAATGGAAGGAAATTAATAACAGAAAAGTAAAAATTATAATCTAGAAAATGAAATATATAAATCGATTCATAAATGGATAAGACTTTTAAGACTTTTTTTGAAGAAATCATTTCAAACTAGAATAAGCAAGAGGAATAGATCAAAACAAAAAGGAAAACAGTGAAGGTGATATACACATCCTCTTACTGAAAATTAATTTTAAAGAACTGCTTTGTAAACACTAAAACTCAGAGTCATCAATGTGTCTGGATATGGATTCATTTTTATTTCTTCTGCTCAGCACTTGTTTTATACTTTAAATTAGAGTCCTCAAGTCTTTCCTCTGCAATGGAAATTTTATGGCATCGTGTAAAGTATACAAATAGTGAAGGCATTGCCAGTGTTTTCTTGTGTATAAGTATTCTCTACCATTAGAATGGAAACGTCATCAAAGTGGGCCCTTAGTGAGAATGTGCTGAGTGGATGAATACTGTCCTTAAATATGGCTTCTCCATTCTCTTTGGACTCCTTTTGAAACTCCTATCATACATGTGTTGGGGACTTTCTTGACTGGTCTTTCTGACTTTTAAATCCTTTTATCTGGATAAATTCATCATTATCTCCCAATTGACTAATTCTTTGTGTTTATTGCATTTACACTTCTTTTTTATATAATTTTCATTTCTAGTGCTTTTATTTTTTTTTCCTTTTTTGAGATGGAGTCTTGCTCTGTCACCCAGGCTGAAGTGCAGTGGCATGATCTCGGTTCACTGCAACCTCCTACTCCTGGGTTCAAGTGACTCTCTTCCTGCCTCAGCCTCCTCTCCTGCTTCAGCCTCCTGAGTGGCTGGAATTACAGGCATGTGCCACCACACTCGGCTAATTTTTGAATTTTTATTAGAGACGGGGTTTCATTATGTTGGTCAGCCTGGTCTAGAACTCCTGATATCATGATCCACCCGCCTCAGCCTACCAAAGTGCTGGGATTACAGGTGTGAGCCACCACGCCTGGCTGCTTTTAATTTTTTATATCAATCTTTACTTTGTTCTTTTTTGCCTGCTTTTTTTTTTCCCCAGAGTCTTACTCTGTTGCCCCAGCCAGAGTGCAATGGCATGATCTCTGCTCACTGCAATCCCCCAGGGTTCTATCAATTCTCTTACCTCAGCCTCTGGAGTAGCTGGGATTGCAGGCACCTGCCATCATTCCCAGCTATGGTTTCGCCATGTTGGCCAGGTTGGTCTTGAAGTCCTGACCTCAGGTGATCCACCCACCTTGGCCTCCCAATGTGTTAGGATTACAGGCGTAAGCCATTACGCCTGGTTTTTTGCCTGTTTTTATTTATATTTTTTTCTTTTCTTTTTTTTTTTTTTTTGAGATGGAATCTAGCTCTGTCTCCCAGGCTGGCGTGCAGTGGCGCGATCTCAGCTCGCTGCCAGCTCTGCCTCCCAGGTTCATGCCATTCTCCTGCCCCAGCCTCCCGAGTAGATGGGACTACAGGTGCCCGCCACCATGCTGGGCTAATTTTTTTGTATTTTTAGTAGAGAGAGGGTTTCACTGTGTTAGCCAGGATGGTCTTCATCTCCTGACCTCGTGATCCACCCAACTTGTCCTCCCAAAGTGCTGGAATTACAGGAGTGAGCCACCACACTTGGCGTCTGTTTTTAGTTTTAAGTCTTCTATTCTTTTTGATGAATTTTATTCCTTTTTTTTTTTTTTGGCAGAGGCTCACTCTGTTTCCCAGGTTGGAGTACAGTGATGCCATCTTGGCTCACTACAAAGTCCGCCTCCTGGGGTCAAGCAATTATTCTGCCTCAGCTTCTTGAGTAACTAGGATTACATGCACCCACCACCGTGCCCTGCTAATTTTTGAATTTTTAGTAGAGATGGGGTTTCACGGTGTTTGCCAGGCTGGTCTTGAACTCCCGACCTCATATGATTTACCCATCTCAGCCTCCCAAGGTGCTGGGATTACAGGCGTCAGCCACCATGCCTGGCCCTGGATGTTTTCTTCTTAAAAAGCCAGTTGAGAATTCTAAGTGTACTCACTTAAAAGGAAAACTTAGTTTGCTATAATATTTCTCATATTTGTTGTGGTGAATTCATCTCTAGGAGGTTTCTTTGTATAATTATTTCATTATCTCTCTAATAGTTAATTCTCCACATGTTTTGTAATATTTTTGCACACTCACCTTGAATGAGAAGTTCTCTACAGGTTATAGTCATATAACAAACAGAATTCACCCTCCTTCACCACTAATCACACTTCTGTATATTCAATAAAATGTGCATTTCTTCATGGATACTCTTTGAATCATCTAAATGGAGACTCTTTATAGAAGTATTGAATCATTAATTCTTCCAACTACTGTACTCCTTTCCAACATACTGTCTTACTGATTTTTCACTTTTTCCTATTTATATCCATTTTGTTCTACTAACCCGTCTGTCATTGGCCTTCTTCTATAGCCAACCTCAAATTTCAGTTCACACTAGCTGTGAACAGCACTCAAATTGCTGCTGTATTCTTAAAATATAAATTTACTTCATAAAGCAAAAGTGAATTATATGCATGTTACAAAAAATATTCCTAGCAGAGATAAGATGGGATGGTATTTGCTGGGATGTGCAGCATCGTTTTTTCCAAATTAATTTCTCTCAGAATTCTCTCCTCCCTACTGCCAGGCAGAGCTCACCACTCACATGTCATGAATGACATTTTTAGTCATTTTTCGTCTTATCTGATCATATGACTTGAATTAATGTTTAGATCTGCTAAGGGCAAACACCACCATGGAATTAAATTGGCAAGAGGGAAGAAGGAGGAAGCAGGAGAAGGTGGGTAGAGTCTTCAGACTAGGGTGCAGATCTTACACCTGTAGAGGGAAAGAGGGAAGGAAGGCTGATTGGAGTAGAAAGAGACTGCAGCATGGTTCCAAGAATGCTTTGGCCTAGGTCACTGCGGACTCCTTAAATTAAAGTTACTCATTGGAGACTCTCACAACTCACTAGAAACGTCCTCACATACAATCCCCATGTAGCTCTATGACCGTTGGAAACATGACTGCTGCACAAGTGTAGAAGTGCTTCCAGAGACAGAGGGCTAAAGCCAGGCTGTCGCTGACTTATGCTGTCTGATTCAGGATATCTGCATTGCAAATTTCCTTGGTCATTAAAATCCATTACCCCCGCCTCCTAACCCCACCACAGCACACACATATTTGTCCAAACAGGTTCTTCATACCAGCTCTTCCAAAATTCCCATGATCCTCTCTTTTCCAAGGGGAATCTTAGAAAAGGAAGGTTAATGAGACCAACTATTGCCCATGCTATAGCAGTTGGTCTCAGAACTTCCTTTGAATGCCCAGTTGTTTGAGGGGGAGAGAAAGAGAGAGAGAGAGTATGGGAATGGGGAGTGTGTGTGTGTGTGTGAGTGTGTGTGTGTGAGTGTGTGTGTGTGTGTGTGAGAGAGAGAGAGAAATTATCTCTGCTTCTTTTGTAGAAAAGTAGCCCTGCCTCCTCCTACTAATCAGGGTGTATTCATCCTGCCCCAGTGGTGACGTATTTCTTGTCTTTTGGTTACTGGACCTAAGGAATCTAAAGCACCTAACAGATAACATTCTTTAGAGAGCAGGACTTGCCTGCCTTCCAGAGCCCAGAGCTGCAGTGATGAGAAGCACAGGAAAACCTGAGAAGATTATTGGGAGCATTTGTAATTAGGGACATTCCTGTTTCTACCTCTTGTTTTCTGAACCTGTAGATTCTTCCTATGGAAGAACAACTACTATATAAAGATCTGTGATAGAATATGTATAAAAGATGGTGCCCCCTGCATTCAGAATGTCTCCTTTAGCATAGTGCCTCAGTTGCATCTTTAGAATGTTTCTCCAGGGCTCCATGAGTCTAGCTGCTTCTTGAAGAGTGTATGTAATACAAATAGTAGATCACATGGTCATGGACCCACTTCTGCCCATCCTTTGCTGTGAACAAGGAAACCTGGTCAAATGCTATACCATGTGGGATTTTATGCCTGTGGATCAGGAATTCTGGAAGCCTCAGAAAAGTGGTCCTGGCTCAGGCTCTGTGAACAGAAGTGCCAAACCCAGCCCTGGAATAAGGATATATCCCTCTGAGGATGAAAAGTTGGTCATTCAAGGTCAAAAGACTTGCCATATAAGAGTCTCATTATTGATTTATGCTGTTGAAAAGTAGGACAGTCAGAGGCAGCAGTAGTTAGATAAACCTTGATACATAGAAGTCCAGGCTGTGGGGCCCATATGTATCGTCCATCTCTGCTAACATGGTCATATGAGTGACTGCATATGTGTGACTGTTGTACTTGTTGTGGGAAAGCCAATCTCCAAGGCTGGCAGCTTGTCAAGTCATTTTGTCTGATTGGTTATTGAGTGCCTCTTCTCTGGTGAGTGCTTTCTTGTGAGTGTTAACATGCAATACAAGATTCTTTACACTCCATGCCTGCTCCTGCATGTCCACCCATATGCTTCTAACCCAGCTTCCTTGTCTCAGATATTTCAGTTCTTTTCTATCTAAGCCTCTGACAAGATGATTCACCCACTGACTACGGCAAAGAAATCTGTTTATATTCCTGCCTTAGGCCATGCTTCTTCTATGTAAAGTAGATGGCCAGGGCCACTGCTCCCAGTGCTGCTAATAGGGAATATTTTAATTTCCTTCTGTCTTTCAGAGTCATTCTTGCATTGGGCTGCAATGCAACTACACCTTTAAACAGAGATTGCCCCTTTCTCCCTCCTTCAGATGGCCACAGGGACACAAATGCAGTCACAGGTGTGAGCTGAAGGAAGGTTGCTGGTGGAAACATGGTGGGTGACATGAGGATCTGGGTTACCTGCTATTCAACTTATCCACTTGCTCTCATCTTGCTTGGCCTTTGTCTTATATTTACTATTTCCACCTCATGATGAACTACTTCTTTTCCCTTCTGGTGTCATGACTCGGTGGTTTCAATAGAACTCAGCCTGCAAGAGGTAGCACCAGAAGCATGGTAACTTATCAAGCACAGCATCTCTCCTAGGTCCAACATATAATTCTCTGCCATGGAGGGCATGGCTTTGTTTCAGAATCCCAGGAGCTGGTGTTGTAATTCTTTCACTGAGAATTGCCATGTGTGCCACACTGCGACCACCACTGACATCTGCAAGAATACAGGTCCTGCAAGGTCATATGACCCAAGCTGCAGGGCTGTTCACAATGGAGCCTGGACATGCTGTGGAGCCCTGTCCTGCCCTGTACTCTTCAAACCCTGTGGTCTTCCTAGCTCCCTGACTTGTCTTGTGGCTTACTTGTGTTATGTTGCTTAGGGTTTCTTGAGTTTTATGAGTTTGTATTTTTATAACTGTATAGATATAGATGGATAGATATAGATATGGTCAAAGAGAGAAAGAAAAATAATTTTACAAAAGACTTTACTGGACATGTAGAAAAAAATATCAAACTCCACCTCTATTTCCAGCACTTTGGAAGGCCAAGGTGGCTGAATCACAAGGTCAGGAGATCGAGACAATCCTGGCTAACACGGTGAAACCCTGTCTCTACTAAAAATATACAAAAAAAAAATAGCCAGGCGTGGTGGTGGGAGCCTGTAGTCCCAGCTACTCAGGAGGCTGAGGCAGGATAATGGCGTGAACCCAGGAGGCAGAGCTTGCAGTGAGCCGAGATCTTGCCACTGCACTCCAGCCTGGGTGACAGAGCAAGAATCCATCTCCAAAAAAAAAAAAAAAAAAAAATCAAACTCCATAGTGAGAAGTCAAACAACACAATAACAAAATGGGCAAGATATTTGAGTAGACGACAATAACCAAAGATATATGAATGATTGATAAACACTGAAAAATGCATCATTAACCACCTGGGAATGGAACTTAAAAATCAAAATGCAATAACACTGCACAGAAACTATAATGGATCCAAAAAATGTCAATTCTGAATGTTTGAGAGGACATACAACACCCTGAATTATCATATTTAGGTGGGACTATAAAGTGGATAATCAGTTTGGATTGCAGTTTGGCAGTTAAACATACACTTACAATTTGACCTAGACTATTCCATTCTTACTTACTCAAGAGAAATGAAAACATGTGCATACAAATGAACATAGCAGCTTTACTTGTGATAATCAAGGAATAGAAACATTTGTAAATGGTTCACCAACAGGCTAAAGGATAAACATATTGTAGTATTTCCATACAATAGAATAAAATAGAAAGAACCACTGATTTTGCAACATAGGTGATCCTAAAATATATTGAGAGAATGAAACAACAGTAGGCATATTATAAAAGTTTATTATTACAAAATTCTAGAAACTGAATTTATAGTGGAAGTTTGCAGATCAATGGCTGCTTGGAGCCAGAGGTTTTGGTAAGGAGTACAAAAGAACTTTTGAGGTGATAGACAGCTTCAATATCTTCATTGGTGGTAGCCACATAACTTTATATGTTTGTACTTAATTTGGATGTATTTTATTGTATTGAAAGTAAACCTCAGTTAAGTTGACTTTTAAAATTTATTAGATTCTAAAACATTAATTTGCTTCCATCCATTATATTTATTCACAAATCCTACAATAGTATGTTTTGGAAGACCTGTAATAGACACAGTAACTGGCATATTCATAAAGGAAATTTCCTTATGTAGGATAGTTTTTAGGGGAAATGCCTGAAACAAAAAAATCTGCATCTGCTTATCATAATTCACTGCATAAAAGATCTAAATGTGTAACTGGCAATCAACTTAGCTTTGATTATCTTTCATAGCAGCATGGATCAATTATGTTTACCCAGTTGGCTATTTCTCCATGCTAAACTCATATTGCATACATGCCTCTGAAATTCCAGTCATGTATAGTCTATAATGTAAACCTATATTACACAATTTGTATACTTTTCCACTTTAAAGGGGGGATTTATACCTGCAAAGGGACTTGACCTACAACTATCATCCAATTCTGTTCCAAATTTTGGATACTATGACTCTATCCTGGAAATGATTCAGTAGTTTTGTTTCATTTGACTCTTCCTACAGACATAATGTGTTGAAGTAAACCTGTTTTTTATGTTTGGAAAGTAGCCTTTTGATGGGTGTTTTCTAGCTTTTGGAAAACATGTACTCGAAGCAGAAGTAACTAGTTGTTGAGGGAATAGAACCACAGCATTTCTGACCTAGGCAAATTGAAACCTTGTCATCCTTGATGACAAACATAACATGACACATGATTGCCTTTTTCAGGGAGTTCTTATGTAAAATATTTTATCCCCAACTAGTTGGTATCATTCAAATCAAATTTTATAATTTTACTCTGTATTAGGATGCAGTTTTATAATTTCCAAAGCATCTTTACGCATATTTTTTCTCAAATAAATCCTACAGCAACTGTGTGAGATACTCAAAGGTGAGAATATTATCCCCATTTTACAACTGAGCAAGCAGACTTCAAGATTTGTTAACTTTTTAGAGCTGAAGTTTAGTCCACTATTTTATGTTATCAACCTTTGATTTGCTGTGCTATACCCACCAATTTAGAAAAGAATTTACCCAAGATTGTAACATATAATACAATTAATTTATTTGTTTTTCTCTCCCCTTGAAAACAGAAACAGTGGTGATTATGGAGTATCCACTGATTATTTTGCTGGGACAAGTTGATGTCACTAAATTTATAAATTGAACTGAACTGATAACCTCAGTTATTTTACCAAAATTCCTTCTTTTAATATTATATAAACTGTAGAATGCAGAAGAGGTACTTTTAATTTCTAATTATTTAAGTAGAGGAAGACTTAACACTTCCTTTTAGGCTCACACATAAAATTTCTGGTTGATACATCACCAGCGATTGTGTTTCAGCATGTATGTAAATGCAGCTTTCTGAATAGGCAAACTTATAGGAAATATGGAATATCATTGTATTTACATACAGCAGTATCTCAGACATCATTCCAAAAACTAAAGGACAATGAGGAAATATTTCCAAAAGCCATATTACAGTGCTTTGGGGGAGGTAAAAGAGAGAATGCTGTAATATGTTTTCCTGTTTGACTGACTCAAGCTACATTCTAGGAGATATTTTAAAAAGTTAATAAAATCTCTGTGTCATAGTCAAAAGATGTAAGGCAAACCACAATTATCCAAGGAAATCTGAAATGAATATTACTAAATACAACCTTCTGGATTTGGCTTTACTTACCTAGTATGTTGACTATGTCTGCTTATGGTTTTCTTACTTATGCCTACCTACACCATCTTTTAATTAAATGTGCTGATAAAATTTCATCTAAGTGCAGAATTTCCTTTGCTTGACACAAACACTTTGTTCTACTGTGAATCAACTGCTGGAGCTTTCTATTGTATGGATGTCTACAAAGGGATGTGCTGTAACTCAAGTATAAGTAGATGGTTCTTTCCTTGTTGTAAATCAAATTGGTATAACCTGTGACTGGGTTCGATGTGGCCCCAGTTTCCTGAGGCCTGTGAAAATTGCTAGGTTGCTCGTTTTCATTTTTTCTTATCACCTTAACTGGAGTTGGAGGCCCTTGCAAGTCCAGGACAATGACGTCTTAGGCAACCTCAGTTGTCTAGTGTGACTTAATAAGCCTGATGTATGTAGTAGAACCAATCTTTTCTTTTATATATATTGCCATTTTAAGTTATGTGAACCTTATTCTCTAGGTTACAGGTATTGGATTATTTTAGTTCTTTATTATAATAAGCAAGGTGTTAATTTGTTTGTTGTTGTTGTTGTTGTTTGAGACAGAGGCTCGCTCTATCGCCCAGGCTGGAGTGCAGTGGCGTGATCTTGGCTCACTACAAGCTCCACCTCCCGGGTTCACGCCATTCTCCTGCCTCAACCTACTGGGTAGCTGGGATTACAGACACCTGCCACCATGCCCGGCTAATTTTTTGTATTTTCAGTGGAGACAGGGTTTCACCCTGTTGGCCAGGATGATCTCGATCTGCTGATCTCATGATCCGCCCACCTCAGCCTCCCAAAGTGCTGGGATTATAGGCGTGAGCCACCAAGCCCTGCCCGCTAATTTGATTTTTTAACTCCTAAATTCTACCACTTTCCTTACTCGCTTTCTAATGAAAATTGATGGAGAAAATAAACTGAAAATATCACAATTCTAACTATTCCACTATTTTGAGATTCTAAAATTATTGGCTTTTGGTGTTCACTGATTCATGTCGGATTTTTAGTAGCATAATCAAACCTTTTTTTGGCAATGGTATAGAGTGCAAAATGCAAAGCCATTTGCCATGGTGTAGATGCTCACAGTATGCCCCTGCATCTAAAGAGATACTATTCTCCAACATAAATCAGACATATAGAAAATACTTACAGCACAGAAAATATGAACTATGGCATAGAAATACATTAAATTAGCTAAATGACATCCCTAATAAAAATCTGAATCTGGCCGGGCACGGTGGCTCAAGCCTGTAATCCCAGCACTTTGGGAGGCCGAGGTAGGCGGATCACCTGAGGTTATTTCGAGACCAGCCAGGCCAACATGGTCTGCAAAAAAAGAATACAGAAATTAGCTGGGCATGGTGGCAGGCACCTGTAATCCCAGCTACTTGGGAGGCTGAGGCAGGAGAATCACTTGAACCCGGGAGACAGAGGTTGCAATGAGCTCAGATTGTGCCATTGCACTCCAGCCTGTGCGACAAGAGCAAAACTCCATCTCAAAAAAAAAAAAAAAAAAAAAAAAGAATCTATTCTAAAACTGGGAATTTTATGTTTAAGTAGATTCACTTAATTTTTTCCTATAATCTCCCGGGACAAATAAATGTTTTCCACAGTTGCGCTTAACAAACTGAAGAACTGGAAGGAGAAACAACATTATTAATAATTACTTCCAGAGTGGGGCGTGGCTCACATCTGTAATCCCAGCACTTTGGGAGGCCGAGGTGGGCTCATCACGAGGTTAAGAGATCGAGACCATCCTTGCTAACACGGTGAAAACCAACCTGTACTAAAAATACAAAAAATTAGCCGGGCATAGTGGCGGGCGCCTGTGGTCCCAGCTACTTGGGAGTCTGAGGCAAGAGAATCGCTTGAGGAAGGCTGGCCAACTTGGCTAAACCCCATCTCTACTAAAACTACAAAAATTAGCTGGGCATGTTGGCGCATGTCTGTAATCCTAGCTACTCCCAGAGGCTGAGACAAGAGAATCGCTTGATCCCGGGAGGCAGAAGTTACAGCAAGCCGAGATCACGCCACTCCACTCCAGCCTGCTCTACAGAACAAGACTCCGTCTCTCAAAAAAAAAAAAAAAAAAAAAAAAAAAAAAAAAAAAATACTTCCTACGATGCATGATTAGAATACAAAGTTTTCTATTCTTTTCTTTTAAAAATAAATATCTTAGCTGCCTGATTTCATTCTGGCCATCAAAATTGCCTAAAGTCTTTGTGGGCAATATCATCAACCCTTGAGGGAAATTCAAGATATTCCCAACACAGAAATATTCTTAGCTGAAAAGAGTATGGGATGACAATTTTCAACCTGGCATATATATAAAGAAGAAAAATGTTGGGTAAATGAACAGCAAAAGAAAGATGACATTCATATGTCCTATGCAATTCTGAATACTTATTTTATGTAGGTGAATATTTTAATGAAAGACATTTATTGATCCAAAATATTTTTTAACTTAACGAACTTTGGCAAAACAATGCCCTTCAGTCAGTGACTATATTATCAAGTTTCACCTACCTCTGTTCAAGGAAACAAAAATAATAGTAATTCCATACTCAGTATGTGTGAGAAAATAAGAGCTGTGTTTAGTTCTAATTATTTTGAGTTATGCCACATAACACATAACAGTATACATTTATTTTGAGTTCATATGTAGAATTAGACTACTTTTTAATTTTGGGAACATGGAGAACAATATTATAGGATTATATTAGTAAGGCTGTGGTAAATACTAACATTAAGCTCTCCTTATGTGACACACACAGTTCCTTCACCAAAATGGGCAAAATTTTAGCTGAAGACTTATAATGAAGCCTAGATATTCATGAAGCAATTAAACAACTTGACCATTATTAGAATATAGTAAATACATGCATGTGCAATACCAGCCTCTTTTTTTCTCACTTTATGTTTTTTGAATGTCATTAGATTTACATATCCTGCTAACATAACATAAAAACAAACCTTAAGTTTCAAGAAATTAACAATTCTAGTTACATACTATTTACATGTTTTTCTTATTAACTATTAGTTATTTCAAAACTTACCTTTTATGTTTTGAGATAAAAAATATCTAATAGAAATATAGTTTTTTGAGAAGAATGCCTTTTTTATTATTTTTATTTTTATTTCTTTATTTTTTGTTTGAGACAACATCTTGCTCTGTCACCCAGGCTGGTGTGCACTGGCATGATGTTGGCTCACTGCAATCTCTGCCTCCCAGGTTCAGGTGATTCTCCTTCTTCAGCCTCCCAGGCAGGTGGGATTAGAGTAGCATGCCACCACACCTGGCTAATTTTTGTATTTTTAGTAAACATGGAGTTTTACCATGTTGGCTAGGCTGGTCTTGAACTCCTGACCTCAAGTGATCCGTCCTCAGCCTCCTAAAGTACTGGGATTACAGGCATGAGCTACTGCACCTGGCTCTTTTTAAATTATTTTTAAAGGATACTTTAGTTTTCCTAGTAATCCATGTGAATGTATTCTCTATGAACTATAGTGTGTGTGTTTACTTTTTATATATAGAATACTACTGAGGAACAAGCTGTTTCTGTAAATGAAATGGGACTGAACCTCTACCTTGGTTGTGTTCTACATGTTACAGAGACCTGGACAGAGACAGTATGATCATCTCATGAACATCACATAATCTCCTGTCACAGTCCCAAGATAAAACATTTCCTTAAAATCAAGACTTGCTTTAATAACCATCACATTTATTACAACAATACCTTCCCACTATAATCAATATGGATATAAACAGCCTTTGTTCTATTTTTCTCATACTTGGAAGACTTTTGCTTTCATTCCATGAAAATCTTGTATTTCTCTTCAATTATTCTAATTAGAAAAATAGTGCTGGAGGAGAAAAAATAAAACAGCACAGAAAGGAAAGGGGCTCCTGCAATGCACTGTTTAGACAGATAAGGTAGCCAGGCCAGGTGATGGTCAGGTAGGGATTGCCTTCTTCTCTCTGGTGGTGAGAATTGAGAATTGCTGAGAGGTGTGCAAGTGGAGCTGATTGAGCCAGAGCACAGTCCAGCTTTCTTCCATGTTCTCTACATAAAATAATCAATAATCTTCAGCATTAAGACCTCATGATCTCATGTTTTGAGAAGGAGAGTTGAGAAACACCTACTAGTCTTATGATAGGTTGAGTACTTTAAAGAGTTTTGGGCCAGGTGTGGTGACTCACGCCTGTAATCCCAGCACTTTGGGAGGCTGAGGCACGTGGATCACGAGGTCAGGAGATCGAGTCCATCCTGGCCAACATGGTGAAACCCCATCTCTACTAAAAATACAAAAATTTAGCCGAGCATGGTGGCACGCACCTGTAGTCCCAGCTACTCGGGAGGCTGAGGCAAGAAAATCCCTTGATCTGGGGAGGTGGAAATTGCATGAGCTGAGATTGCACCACTGCACTCCAGCCTGGGTGACAGAGTTAGACTCCATCTCAAAAAAAAAAAAAAAAAAAAAAAAGAATTTTGAAGCTTCTTAATTCCATTTATTTAAGACATTATTCTCATTGGGATTAGGGGGGAATCCCTGAATTTTGGTAAAAACAAATCCAAGTCACAAAATCAGAAAAAAAAAGGGAAGATATAGGATGATGCGTTTCATTCTTCATATGAATATGCATTTTACAAATATATAACTAAGACCAATTTCGGATTTATTTCCAGGCTTGGAGATAACTTATGGAAACTTTTAACATTAAAGTTAAATTTGCAATTCAGAATTAATCCATACATTATTTCACTGTTTTCTTGTTAATATTAAATTCTGCTTACTCAGTAAAGTTTATTATTTGAATATAACAAGAATGTGTGAATTGTAAATTCCATGCTAAAGTCTGGAACATTTCTACAAAATTCAGTTTAGCAAATATTTGTTAAGACTTCAGTCAAAGCCTTTTACAACTGCACTGCTCTAGGTTTTGAGGACTCAAAATAATCTCTGCTCACAAACCAGACATGCAGACAAATAAGGTTCTATGTATTAAGGTCAATAATAGAATTTTGCTGAAGACAAAATATTATCGCAGACACAAAAAAATTAGCCAGGCATGGTGGCAAGTGCCTGTAATCCAAGCTACTCAGGAGGGTAAGGAAGGAGAATAGCTTGAACCCAGGAGGCAGAGGTTGCAGTGAGCCAAGATCACATCACTGCACTCATCTTGGGCAACAGAGTGAGACTTCATCTCAAAAAAAAAAAAAAATCTTGATTCCTTTATCCCCTGTGCTTCACAGCATTCAGAGTCTTCCATATTTTCTGGGAGTTTCTTGGTTAGTTGGGCTTGGCCTCTCCTCACTTACTGTTGGTGCCTGCCCTCTTCTCTGTGCTCCAGAGCAGATCATGTTTTCTCTACTCAGTTCCCTCTAGTGAGGAGACTCATTCCACTTTCACCCCCACCTTAGCACCAAGCACCATTAATTCAAGACCACTATGAGGAGGAGATAAGGGAGAATTACATCCCACGAAGAGCAGCAAAATGCATAAACATGCATATATATATACACATATATGCATATATATGCACATATACAGACATATACATATATATACATATATACATACACACATATATACACGTATACACATATATACACACACACATATATACATGCATATATTGCCACCACTATCCTGAATCTCCTCATTTATTCCCAACAGAAGGAATTTCTCCACCCCACCCTACCATTTTCTTGGAACTTCTAGTCTCTCTCACATTATTAATTCTACACCTGGGGCTGCCTTGCCCCCTCTTGCTAACTGCCTGGTGGTAACTTGGCACTCCTCTTAGTTACTACTTAACGTTACAGCTCACCCTTTTTTACATCATATTTATGAAGCATTAAATATTCTAAAAGTGGCCGGGTGCAGTGATTCATGCCTGTAATCTCAGCACTTTGGGAGGCCAAAGCTGGCGGATCACGAGGTCAGGAGTTCAAAACCTCCTGACCAACATGGTGAAACCCTGTCTCTACTACAAATACAAAAATTAGCTGGGCATGATGGAGTGTGTCTGTAATCCCAGCTACTCAAGAGGCTGAGGCAAGATAATCACTTGAACCTGGGAGGCAGAGGTCACAAAGAGCCGAGATTTGTGCCACTGCACTCCAGCCTGGGTGACAGAGCAAGACTCTCAAAAAAAAAGAAAAAAAAAACAAGCTACTTTGTCTAGGGTACCCTATTATACCAAGGAATTTAGTGCCTCATGAAAAAAGGTTCTCAAGGATGTTTTTCTAAACAATAGAACCTTCTACCTTAGAAATCATTTATGATATTATCCAACATCATTATTTTTTATTTTATATATATTTTTCACTACAATAAAAATCTTTCAAATATATCAAAATACAATTTTATTAAAACAGAAAAGTTGTTTATTAGATAATCTTTTAATTTTAACATACTAATTTATCTATCGGGGTTCTATGTCATTCACTCAAGAAGATAATTCAATGAATAAATGTGGTAACTTCACATATCAGTAGAACTTTTTCACAAAAATGGACAATTTTTCATTTTTCAGAGTGAACACTGAGCCACCACCTGAGGAAAAATAAATGATCTTTTTTTTTTTTTTTTTTTTTTGAGAAGGAGTCTCGCTCTGTCGCCCAGGCCGGACTGCGGACTGCAGTGGAGCAATCTCGGCTCACTGCAAGCTCCGCTTCCCGGGTTCACGCCATTCTCCTGCCTCAGCCTCCCGAGTAGCTGGGACTACAGGCGCCCGCCACCGTGCCCGGCTAATTTTTTTTGTATTTTTAGTAGAGACGGGGTTTCACCTTGTTAGCCAGGATGGTCTCGATCTCCTGACCTCATGATCCGCCCGCCTCGGCCTTCCAAAGTGCTGGGATTACAGGCGTGAGCCACCGCGCCCGGCCAAATGATCATTTTTAACAATTAAAGTTACTATTTTTTTTAATCATCTGGTCTTTTAAGATGTTTTTAGACTTATAGATCAAGATAAGATGTTAGCATACATTTATCCTTCTTTCAATTTGTATCCATCCCTAACTTATTTCTTCCTATTGTGCAATAGCTCATTATTAAGCTGAGCTTCCATTTTACTCATTCATGTTTATTTATGGGTCAGGCAAGTGAACTGCATACAAATTCACAAATTTTCTTTTTTTTTTTTTTTGAGATGGAATCTTGCTCTGTCGCCCAGGCTGTAGTCAGTGGTGCAGTCTTGGCTCACTGCAAGCTCTGCCTCCAGGGTTCATGCCATTCTCCTGCCTCAGCCTCCCGATTAGCTGGGACTACAGGCACCCACCACCACACCTGGCTAATTTTTTGTGTTTTTAGTAGAGACTGTTTTTCACCATGTTAGACAGGATGGTATGGATCTCCTGACCTCATGATCTGCCCACCTCAGCCTCCAAAAGTCCTGGGATACAGGCTTGAGCAACCGCGCCCGGCCTACAAATTTTCTTTGTAACTTACCTTATTATTAAATTGGTCTTCCTAATTCTTATTTTTTTATTTTTTGTTTTTTATTTTTTATTTATTTATTTTTTTGAGATGGAGTCTTGCTCTGTTGCCCAGGCTAGAATGCAGTGGTGCAATCTCAGCTCACAGCAACCTCCTCCACCTCCCGGGTTAAAGCCACTCTCCTACCTCAGCCTCCAGAGTAGCTGGGATTACAGGCATGCACCACCATGCCCGGCTAATTTTGTATTTTTGGTAGAGACAGGGTTTCTCCATGTTGGTCAGGCTGGTCTCAAACTCCCAACCTCAGGTGGTCTGCCTGCCTTGGCCTCCCAAAGTGTTGGAATTACAGGTGTGAGCCACCGCACCCAGCCTGGTCTTTTAAAATTTGACCTAAACAGTTCATCCTGTCATGTTCTTCATGAGAGATGAAGGTCCACTATTTTTCCCTTGTTATTTTAATAAAAACAACTATTTACCTTGAATATACTGAATATACACAAAATACATATTCATTTACACACCATGGCTTTTTAAAAGGGTTGTCCTTAGACGAGACCTCCAGGGATAGTTAAGCTGTAAATGGAAGGCTTCATATGTAAAGACATTTTCCTTTTGACCTTGTTTCTTATAGTGAGTGTGTGTGTGTGTCTGCTTTTAGTGGTAGAAGTTAAGGGGAATCTCTATGATTGTTTTTCTTTCTCTGCATTTATCCCTCACTTTCTTTTTTTTTTTGAAACAGAGTCTTCCTTTGTCAGTGCAGTGGCGTTATCTCGACTCACTATGACTTCTCCCTCCTGGGTTCAAGTGATTCTCATGCTCAGCCTCTCAGGTAGCTGGGATCACAGGCACCCATCACCATGCCCAGCTAATTTTTGTATTTTTAATGGAGACGGGGTTTCACCATGTTGCCCAGGCTGGTCTCAAACTCCTGAGCTCAGGCAATCTGCCCACATCGGCCTCCCAAAGTGCTGAGATTACAGGCATCAGCCACCATGCCCAGCCCCATTTATCCCTCATTTTAATTTTTTTTAAATTTTTTTTTTCTTTTTTTGAGATGGAGTCTTGCTCTGTCACCCAGGCTGGAGTGCAGTGGCAGGATTTTGGCTCACTGCAACTTCGGCCTCTCAGGTTCAAGCAATTCTCCTGCCTCAGCCTCCCAAGTAGCTGGGACTACAGGTGCCCTCCACCATGCCCGGCTAATTTTTTGTATGTTTAGTAGAGATGGAGTTTCACCATGTTAGCCAGGATGGTCTCAATCTCCTGACCTCATGATCCACCTGCCTTAGCCTCCCAAAGTGCTGGGATTACAGCCATGAGCCACCTCGCCTGGACTATCCCTCACTTTATAACATTAATCAAGTTCTTTTATAATTTTATGTTAAAGATTTTTGAATTTTGTTAATCTATTTTATTTTCCTTCATAAAATGATCAAAGCTAGAAATAACATTACAAAGTATATCATAATCGTTAATAGAAAGAGCTCTATAATCAGCTTAAATTTCTTTTCTCTCTTTTCTAGTTATGTGATCTTAGGCAAGTTACATAAATTACCTGTGTTCAGTTTATTTATTTGTGAAATGGGGAAAATAAGGGTGCCTGTCTCTGGGTAAGATTGTAGTGAGGGTGAATAACAGATTTATCAAGCATAAAGCAGTGCCTGGGACACAGGAATTGCCCTCTCTGCATGCCCCTGCATATGTGTGCATACAGGCATGAATCACTTGATGATGGAATAAATTTGGAGAAATATATCTTTAGGCAGTTTTGTTATTGTGCAAATATCTCAGAGTGTACTTACACAAACATAGATGGGATAGCCTACTACTCTGCTAGAGTATATGATAGAGTATATGTAGCCTGTTGCTCCTAGGCTACAAATCTGTACAGCGTGTTACTGTACTAAATACTGCAGGCAACTGTAACACAGTGGTAGGTATTTTGCATCTTATCATAGAAAAGTTGCAGTAAAAAAAAAAAAAAGGGTACACTTGTAGAGGGCACTTACCATGAATGGAGCTTGCAGAGCTGGAAGTTGCTCTGGGTAAGTGAGTGAGTGGTGAGTGAATATGAAGGCCTAGGACATTACGGGCACTGTTGTAGACTTTAGCAGTACTGGATGTACACTTAGATGCTATGCCAAATTTATTTTTAAATTGTTTTCTTTTATCAATAATAAATTAGCTTTAGCTTACTGTAATTTTTTTTATTTAATATACTTTTTTAACTTTTGGCTCCTTTGTCACAACTCTTAGCTTAAAAGATAAACATATTGTACAACTTTTTAAAAAAATATTATTTTCTTTATATCTAAGTCTATAAGCTTTTTCCAATTTTTAATTTTTGTGTTACTTTTTAACTCTTTTATAAAAACAAACACAAACACGCACATTAGTTTAGGCCTATACAGGGTCAGGATCATCAACATCATTGTCTTCCACCTTCATATTCTGTCTCAATGGAAGTTCCTTGGGGCAATAACACACATGAAGCTGACATCTCCTATGATAACAATCCCTCCTTCTGGATACCTCCTGAAGGACCTGCCTGAAATTGCTCTACTGTTGTTTTCTTTTTCTTTTTTAATAAGTAGTACCCTCTCAAAACATGATAAAAAGGGCCAGGCGTGGTGGCTCAAACCTGTAATGCAAGCAATTTGGGAGGCTGAGGCGGGAGGATCACTTGAGGGTGGCAGTTCAAGAGCAGCCTAGCCAACATGGTGAAACCCTGTTTCTACTAAAAATACAAAAATTAGGCAGGTGCAGTGGTGGGCACCTGTAGTCCCAGTTACTTGGGAGGCTGAGGCAGAAAAATCACTTGAAACTGGGAGGTGGAGGTTGCAGTGAACCGACATCACACCATTGCAACTCCAGCCTGGGCAACAGAGGGAGACTCCATCTCAAAAAAAAAAAAAAAAGATATAAAGAATAGAGTAGTAAATATATGAACCAGTAATATTATCACTTATTATCATTATCAGGTATTATGTTCTGTAAGTAATTATATGTGCTAGAGGCCTGTCAGCACAATAGGTCTGTTTTCACCAGCATCAGCACAGACATGTGAGTAATGAATTGTGCAATGATATTACATTGACAATGACATCACTAGGAAACAGGAATTTTTCAGCTCCATTAAAATCCTACAGGACCAATATGTGGTCCACCATTTACTGAAATGTATTGACATGGTGCATGACTGTAAAATTACTAGTATTCAAAAATCAGTTGTATCTTCAACATTTCCTACCTCTGCAGAATGCATCACCATTCTCCCAGTTACCCAGGCTTAAAACCTCAGAATTCTATCAAATTATTTCATTTCTTTACATCTCATGTTTAATTAGTCACTGATTCCCATCAATTTTCCCCTATCATGTTTAATAGTACCAACACATTATTTCTCTTAGAAAAATATTTTTCTAGTTTAGGCTCTTAATTTAGCCTATTTTTAAAATATCTCAAAGTTTGCCATACAGTCTTTATTTCTTATTTCTTAAAACATTTTCTACATTTTGATACAACTAAACTTTCTAAAGCATAAATATCTCACTTTGTCACTTGTCTGCTCAAAAAAAACATAAAAATATCTTCTTGGTCTAGAAAGTAAAATTATAATGCTTGGCATGATGCAGACAGAAATTCCCATTTCTCCTTTTTCTCCTTTGCCCCCACTATTTTCTTCCATGTTCACATCAGTACCTAATGTCCCAGACATATGGAATTCATTGTTTCATGAATAGAGCCAACACATTCTAACTACCATGCATTTAGTCAAACCATCTGGCCACCTGGAATTTCCTACCATCCCCCATAAAATTTAAGTTAAAAAATTCCACTGTTCTGTCCTCTCTGAAGATGTCCCTGAACCTTTATTGAAACTCATTGACATATCCTTTGGTTCCCGCAGACTTTATTGTATATGTCATAATTTAGCACATACATTACTCTGCCATACATCTTAGTAAGTTAATGAACTGTCTCTTTTCACTGATAAAACAGTGTCAGGATTTTTTTCATTTTTGTATTCCCTACTGGTCCACAGAGTGCTATGAACATATAATGTGCTAAGTTAATTTTAAATTGACTTAAACTTACTGGTGAATTCATCGATTAACTGTTCTTTTCCAGTATTACTCTTAGAAATGTCCTTGCCTTGATATATTTTAAGTTCTAAAAAAATTAATTTCATTTTAAGAATCACATCCTCCAAAACAAAAGAAACAAAAGCTCCCATACAATTCTAATGCTACTTATAAGTAACATTAAAAATGGCATACCAAGTGTAAAAAACAAAAAAACAAACAAAAACAAACAAACAAACAAAAAAATTCCCATGAAAGCCAGAGGCAAACAATGCAAATTTTAATGTCAATATTGTCATTTTTTCCTAGGTTAGGGGTCAATATAACCACATTTATAAACTTGTTCTTTTTGTCTCTCCTCATGTTGACTTCACACATAGCATATTATGCCATTAAAACAACAAAAAAGGAGAAAATGCTATATTGAAATCCAGTATTTTCTGACAACAATTCCTTACTGTGAATTGTGAATGAAAATTAAATTCTTTAATCACTAGGAAAGACTCTGAGTGTGCGAGTGTTTCTTTCAGCTGATATAAACATTGATAAGATCAAAGCTTGCTCTGAATTATCTGTCTTACCAGGTCTTGACTGAATCTCAGAACAAAATCCTGTAGTTTCTCTTTATTTTGGAAAAACCTTTAATCTTTTAAAAATATAGGCACAACTGGGGACAGTGGCTCAGGCCTGTAATGTCAGCAGTTTGGGAGGCCGAGGTGGGCAGATAACGAGATCTAGATATCAAAACCATCCTGTCCAACATGGTGAAAGTCTGTCTCTACTAAAAATACAAAAATTAGCTGGGCATGGTGGTGCACATTTGTAGTCCCAGCTACTCAGGAGGCTGAGGCAGGAGAATCGCTTGAACCCAGGAGGCTGAGGTTGCAGTGAGATGAGGATGTGCCATTGCACTCCAGCCTGGGTGACCAAGGGAAATTCCATCTCAAAAAAAAAAAAAAAATAGGCACATCTGGCTAAGGAAATGGCAAAAAGGCAAAAAGATATGCACAAAAAAAGTTAGCCACTACTTGCATTGAAAATGGGTTTAAGTTTAAGGTTTTGGCAAGTGTTTGAGAAAAATATGAATTAAGCTCATTTTCGGTGGAGACAAGTCTCTATGCATTTAGTGTTGGTTAAGGTAAATACTTAAATCTATTTAAAATTTTAAAGACCTTAGTAATGTAAACAAATGTTGTTGAGTTTGGACTTCTCTACAATATCTATGTGGAATCTTAGGAAAGGAAGAGTGAAAGGATACAATATATTTTAAATGGTAGTTCAGCCTAAATCCTAAGCATAAGCATAATACACTGCTGCATTTCTTTTTTTTTTTTTTTAACAGAGCCTAACTCTGTCCCCCAGACTGAAATGCAGTGGTGCCATCTTGACTCACTGCAACCTCAGTCTCCTAGATTCAAGCTATTCTCCTGCCTCAGCCTTCTGAGTATTTGGGATCACAGGCAGGCACCAGCCACACCCGGCTTTTTTTTTTGTTTTTGTCTTTTTTCTTTTTTTGAAGACAGAGTCTTGCTCTATCGCTCAGGCTGGAGTACAATGGCACAACCTCGGCTCACTGTAACCTCCGCTTCCCAGGTTCAAGTGATTCTCCTGCCTCAGCCTCCTGAGTAGTTGGGATTACAGGCACGTGCCACCATGCCCGGCTATCCACCTCCCAGGTTCAAGCAATTCTTCTGCCTAAGCCTCTTGAGTAGCTGAGATTACAGGCATGTGCCACCATGCCTGGCTAATTTTTGTATTTTTAGTAGAGACAGGGTTTCACCATGTTGATCAGGCTGGTCTTGAACTCCTGACCTCCTGATCTACCCGCCTCAGCCTCCCAAAGTGCTGGAATTATAGGCATGAACCAAGGTGCCCAGCCCATTTTTTTGTATTTTTAATAGAGGTGAGGTTTCACCATGTTGACCAGGCTGATCTTGAACTCCTGACCTCAAGTGATCTGCCCGCCTCCACCTGCCAAAATGCTGGGATTACAGACATGAGCCACTATGCCTAGCCAATATGTTACTTTAAAAAAATATGTTATTCGTTTTAGTTTTCTTCTGTTGCTAATGATCATTTCTATTTTGTAGGGAAAAGGAAGAGAGATCAGACTGTTATTTGTCTATGTAGAAAGGGAAGACATAAGAAATTCCATTTTGACCTATACTTTGAACAATTGCTTTGCCCTGAGATGCTGTTAATCTGTAACTTTGCCCCAATCACTTTGCCCCAACCTCTTTGCCCCCACCTTGAGATCACAAAAACATGTGTTGTATGGAATCAAGATTTAAGGGATCTAGGGCTGTGCAGGATGTGCCTTGTTAACAAAATGTTTACAAGCAGTATGCTTGGTAAAAGTCATCGCCATTCTCTAGTCTCGATAAACCAGGGGCACAATGCACTGCAGAAAGCCGCAGGGACCTCTGCCCTGGAAAGCCGGGTATTGTCCAAGTTTTCTCCCCATGTGATAGTCTGAAATATGGCCTCATGGGATGAGAAAGACCTGACCATCCCCCAGCCCAACACCCGTAAAGGGTCTGTGCTGAGGTGGATTAGTAAAACAGGAAAGCCTCTTGCAGTTGAGATAGAGGAAGGCCGCTGTCTCCTGTCTGCCCCAGGGAACTGAATGTCTCAGTATAATACCCGATTTTACATTTGTTCAATTCTGAGATAGGAGAAAAACCACCCTATGGCGGGAGGCAAGACATGTTGGCAGCAATGCTGCTTTATTGTTCTTTACTCCACTGAGATGTTTGGGCAGAGAAACATAAATCTGGCCTACGTGCACATCCAGGCATAGTACCTCCCCTTGAACTTAATTATGACACAGATTCTTCTGCTCACATGTTTTTTTGCTGACCTTCTCCCTGTTATCACCCTGCTCTCCTACCGCATTCCTCTTGCTGAGATAATGAAAATAATATTCAATAAAAACTGAGGGAGCTCAGAGTCTGGTGCTGGTGCACATCCTTGGTATGCTGAGTGCCAGTCCCCTGGGCCCACTTTTCTTTCTCTAAACTTTGACTCTGTGTCTTATTTCTTTTCTCAGTCTCTCATCCCACCTGACTAGAAATACCCACAGATGTGGAGGGGCTGGCCACCCCTTCATATTTTCACTTAATTTACTCTGAATCCATGCCACTTTTGCATTTGGGGCTAATGTTTGTATTGCAGGAAAGGATAGCAAGTCAATTTACAATTGGATTTTTTCAATGTAGAGAGTTACATGTTTACTAAAAGGAGTAGCCCTTAATTCTTTTTAAAAAGCCCATAGCAAGCAAGATGATTAACAATTTTTATGTGAACAGATGTCTTAAAATATTTTAAACATCTAGAGAACACTGATACCATCTTCACTTCCAAAGAGATAGAAGTTACTTCTTTTGACTTAGATCTGACTTCTTAAACTGTCAAATGAAGTGGCTGAGTATAACTCACCACCCACAACTTTGATATTTAGCCGCCTCTCTTCATTTGCTTTGTATTATATGTACTGTAGCCCTTACTTTAATATTTCTATATCTTACACATCTTTCTTTCTTAAAAATGTGCTTTCATTTAGAGGAGAAATACAATTTTAAGGGAGAAGTTGATGCAAGCCTAGTTCTGTCTTTTTTTTTAATTGCTGATCTGTCCTGAGGAAATTAATGTCACCCTACTGGGTATGATGCTGTCCCTCTGGAGAGATTCCTGCAAGTTATGACCACTGGGGATTTTATAGATGTCCACATTAAGCCTTTCACTGAGAGTAGAGATTAACTTGCAGTTGCCTCTCTGACACAAATATATCTAAGAAATCAACATAATCTTTCAAAACCCTTCTGGCTAATAATAGTTTGTAGCCACTATTAATATAGTGGTTCTAAGTTTGTTTCAGGGTCTCAAAGCCTTAAATCATTTCATGAAAGCCTACTGCAAATGTCAACATATAATGCTTACAAGGACATAACTGGGTGTTTCACATTATTATTTTATTTTTAACCCACTTGATCCATCAAGTTATCTGTCACAGAACAAATTAAAGGCCCCTTTAGAGAAGTATCAGGATAAAAAATAGGCCTAGTTATGTTCATTGGGAGAGGAGCAAATAAAGCATGGGCTTACATTCTCTGTCTATAAGAAATTGTCATTGTAACTGTTCTTTGTTTCAAAATCTATGTACAGTTCTGATGCACCAATTGACAATGGCTGCCTGACTCTAACACTCAGATGTATTACTGTAAATTCCCTGTCTTCTTTATAGCAAGAGAAAAAATCAGGACATTCTGAAAGTAATACACTGTGGATATTTGCATGGCCAGAGTATAATTTTCTCTGCTTAATAATAAAACTGAATAATGAGCTTAATAATAAAACTCTTATACAAATACAAAATAAACCTCTGTCAAAATTTATTTCACTTATTCCTGAGGAAATCAGTAGGTGGGAAAGCTGGTTCCAAGAACAAGCAAAAAAAAAGTAATTACAGATTTTTTTCCCCAAAACAAGAAATGTTAGAATAAGACAACTATGTTAGAAGCAAAACTGGGCCAGGAGCGGTGGCTCACAGCTGTAATCCCAGCACTTTGGGAGGCTGAGGTGGGCAGATCACAAGGTCAGGAAATCGAGGCCATCCTGACTAACACGGTGAAACCCGGTCTCTACTAAAAATACAAAACCAAAATTAG
Organism: Homo sapiens; assembly: GCF_000001405.40. NCBI lineage: Eukaryota > Metazoa > Chordata > Mammalia > Primates > Hominidae > Homo > Homo sapiens. The sequence goes on from NC_000014.9 coordinate 18,322,035, forward strand.
CCGGGCGTGGTGGCCTGTAGTCCCAGATACTCAGGACGCTGAGGTAGGAGAATGGCATGAACCCAGGAGGCGGAACTTGCAGTGATCCAATATTGCACCACTGCACTCCAGCCTGGGTGACAGAGTGAAACTCCATCTCAAAAAAAAAAAAAGAAGCAAAATTGATTAATAACAACAAAGAGTACTGGGAAAATTGGATATCCACAGGCAAAATATAAAGTTTGGGCCCTTAACTTACATAATATACAAAAATAAACTAAAATAGATCAAAGACTTAAAAGTAACACCTACAACCCTTAAACTCTTAGAAAAAAATAGGAGAAAATTTTCTTTATGTTAGATTTAGCAATGATTTCTTAGATGTGACATCAAAGGTACAGGGAATGAAGAAAATAACAAAGAAATTAGTTTCATCAAAAGTAAAAGTTCTGTGCATTAAAAGTCACGGGTGGCCAGGTGTGGTGGCTCACGCCTGTAACCCCAGCACTTTGGGAGGCTGAGGCAGGTGGATCACAAGGTCTGGAGTTCGAGATCAGCCTGGCCAATATGGTGAAACCCCATTTCTACTAAAAATACAAAAATTAGCTGGGCATGGTGGTGTGCACCTGTAATCCCAGCTACTTGGGAGGCTGAGGCAAAAGAATCACTTGAAGCTGGGAGGCAGAGGTTGCAGTGAGCTGAGATGGTGCCACTGCACTTCAGCCTGGACCACAGAGCGAGACTCCGTCTCAAAAAAAAAAAAAAATAATCACCCTCAGGACAGTGGAACAACAACTCAAAGAATGGGAGAAGATGTCTGCAAATCCCATATGTGATATGACATTGGTATATGTGGATATAATATGTATAATAGAATAAAGAACTCCAGCAACTCAACAACAACAAATAATTGATGGTTCAATGTTTTAAATAGGCAAAGGACTTGAATAGATAATTATCTAAAGAAGATGTACGAATGGCCAACAAGCACATGAAAAGAGGCTCAATATCACTAGCATTAGAAAAACAAAAATAAAACTAATGATGAGATATCAATTCACACCTATTAGGATGATTACAAAAAAGAAACCCCAGAAAATAACAAGTGTTAGTGAGGATTTAGAGTCAATGGGAACCCTTGTGCATTGCTGGTGGGAATGTAAAATGGTTTAGCTTCAGTGGACAACAGTTAGGTGGCTCCTCAAAGGTTAAACATAGAACTACTATGTGATCCAGCAATTCTATGCCTATATACATGCCCAAAGTAGTTGCAAATAGAGACTCCAACAGATATTGACCACCAATGTTCACAGTACCATGATTTACAGTAACCAAAAGCAGGAAGCAACTCAAATGCTCATCAATAAATGAAAGAATAAACAGAATATACCATATTCACATAATGGAAACTTATTCAGCCTTATTAAGGAATGAAATTCTAATATACACTACAGAATTTCAATGACTACAACATATGTAAACTTTGAAAACATTATGCTTAGTGAAATAAGCCAGACACAAAAAGATAAATATTGCTTGAAGTACTTAGAATAAGCAAATCGTAGAGACAGAAAGAATAATCATTACCATGGACTACTGTGGGTGAGAAGTTATTGTTTAATGGGTACAGAGTTTCTATATGGGATGATTAAAGAGTTCTGGAAATAGATGGTGGTAAAGGTTGTGCAATTTGGTGAATGTAATACCCTCTGAACTGTTCATTTAAAATTCATTATAGTGATAAATTTTACAGTATGTGTATTTTACCACAATTTTAAAAAGAAAATTAAAAGAAAAAAGGATGTATTCCCAATTGCACTGTATTTTTGGGTATTAAGCATAAAATTTAAACTTTATTAAACTTATTAGAAAAAGGGAATTGGAAATGTGATATAATGCAGTAATTCACAAAAAATGTGTACAGTAAATGCACTCAAGAGCAGTTTTTCTGAGGCTTGATAAACTCCTATCAGTTATGAATTAAAACTGGTAAATATCCTTCATGGAAACAGATCCATAAAGTCTGGCATTGTCTTTTTCTACTAGAGAGAAACCTACAAGTTATTACATAATCGCATAGTGTCTAGGATCAAATCAACTAATACATGGCCAAATCAAAAGAAAATGAAGTAATCTTTGGGTTAACCTTTTAGAGGATAGCTTTTAATAATGTAATATTACACTAAAAATACACGTCTTATGTAAGAGTTTTAGATACTCTTCCTTAGCATTCCTTATCACAAATATGTCCTCTGTTAGTGCTAATCCATAACTATCTCAGTTCCTTATTTTCATGTCAATAATCTCCAAGTGTTATTCTTTTTTTTTTTTTTTCTTGAGACAGAGTCTGGCTCTGTCTCCCAGGCTGGAGTGCAGTGGTATGATCTCGGCTCACTACAGGCTCCGCCTCTGGGTTCACGCCATTCTCCTGCCTCAGCCTCCAGAGTAGGTGGGACTATAGGCGCCCGCCACCATGCCCGGCTAATTTTTTGTATTTTTAGTAGAGATGGGGTTTCACCATGTTGGGCAGGATGGTCTCGATCTCCTGACCACGTGATCCACCCACCTCAGCCTCCCAAAATGCTGGAATTACAGGCGTGACCCACCGGCTCGGCCTCCAAGTGTTATTCTTAATCAAAAAAAGAAAAAGTTTATCTGACTATATTTGACCCTGATTATTTATGTAGCTTCAGAAAGAGGAGTTAAACAAATAGGTGAAGTCTTCCCTCCACCAGGTTCTAAAATGTAAGATTCATGGCCTTCTGAAAACACTCCCTTACCAATGTGAGGCTGGAACCATAGAACAGGTGGAGGACTTAGTAGGTATTGGCTCAACATTTAAAGTACAATCTTGTTCCTTAATAGGTGTTTTCATACCTTATAAACACATGTATGGCTTGGATGTCCAATTAAATCCCAGGAAAAAAGGACAGATTCTTGATGAAACTATGCAAATAATGAGACAGCAAGTAAAAACGGCTCCCCGGCAGAACCTCCGACCGGCTTGCACACTGGCAGGAGTGCACACTGAGGTGGAGCCTCTGGAAGTTTGCAGCGGGGAGGAGCCTGGCCTCTTCTGTTCCAGGGCGGAGGCTGGGATTCAATCTATGAGGCAGGAAGCTGGGTAGCAGGACTCACTTTACTGACAGTCTCTGTTTCCCCTTTTTTCCCATTCGCCAATAAATTCCATTTTTCTCACCCTTCAAAGCGTCTGTGAGCCTAATATTTCATGGCTGTGTGACAAGAATACAGCTTTTAGCTGAACTAAGGAGAAAGTCCTACAATAATAATATGTTGTCCTACAAGCATGCAGAGTAAGTACAAATATATTGTTCTGAATTCTCAGAGAAAAATATAAATTAGACAGTGTTTGAATGATGTATTTCACTTACAAGGTGTTGTATATAAAATTGAGGATCAGAGATAGAAAAAGAAACTGTGTAATTAATACTCCTTCTACTGGATGTTGAGTCAGTTTTTTGCTTTGATAAAATTATCTACCAATGAGGCAAAAAGATATATCCTTAAAACAATGAGATTTAAAAGTAAGTTGTTATGCTCAGTACTTTATAGGAGAACATTCAAGTAAGTGTCAGAGGAAAACAAAAACCACCTAGAGATGCAACTAAATGGCTATTTAATTGATATAGTAAACAATAATATAAAAATGGAGAAGAATAAAATTCTGCATTAGGTTCAATACTATCTCATAAAGACTTGACCAATGTTTCACCTGGGGGCATACACCGCTCCAATTTCCTATTACAGTCTCTAATCTATTAGTTAAATGTATACAGTTCCTAAACCATTCACCTCTTTTTTTTTTTTTTTTTTTTTTTTTTTGAGACAGAGTATCCCTGTGTCACCAGGCTGGAGTGCAGTGGTGCGATCTTGGCTCACTGCAACCTCTGCCTCCTGGGTTCAAGTGATTCTCCTGCCTCAGCCTCCTGAATAGATGAGACTACAGGCATGCACCACGATGCCCAGCTAGTTTTTGTATTTTTAGTAGAGATGGGGTTTCACCATGTTGGCCATGATGGTCTCCATCTCTTGACCTGATCTGCCCATCTCAGCCTCCCAAAGTGCTGGGATTAGAGGCGTGAGCCAACGCACCCCACCACCATTCATCTTAATATGTAAGATTATGTAAAATGAACTGAGAAAGCTGAGCCCTTTAGAATTGTCCTCATGGAACTCAAGCAGATGTGTGGAACTAATGAAGAAATATGGGGCACACCAAAGAAGTCCAATTTATTTTAGCCTCACTCATTTTATAAGGCAAAAATTGTCACAGTTTTTCTAGAGGTCACCTAGGAAATCTAAAAAATACTTATTTTTCGCTAAAAATCAGAAAACATTTACTTTTTGGAATTTAAGATATAATTTCAGATGGGCAAAAATTAAGTGTTATCAGAGGAGATTTGGTCACTGTGATAAAGACAGGAATACAGGTGCAGAGAAGAAAATGGTGGCAATAATCCCAATAACAATACAATATTCTAAAATAAGCATAGGAAAACATATCATAATTGTTAGAAAATGTATCCCTTCCATAATTATGCTGTATAAATTTTTTTCTTATTTTTCTTTCTAGCTTCATTGAAGTATGATTGATAAATAAAAATTGTACATATTTAAGTTATATAATATGATGTGATGTGATGTTTGTATACATTGTGAAATAATAGCCACAGTCAATTAACATTTTCATCAACTTACAAAGTTAGACTTTCTCTGTGTGTGTCTATGTGTGCTTGTATGGAAATACGTATTCCTACCCTGTTAGCAAAATTCAAGTATACAATACATTCTTATCAGCTGTAACTACTATGCTACATATGTTAGGTATCCAGAATTTATTCATCTTTTAACTAAAAGCATATCCCCATTTTTCCTACCTTCTAATCCCTAACATCTAATGAGTTTAAATTTTTTAGATTTCACAGATAAGTGAGATTATGCAGTATATTTGTCTTTCTGTGTCTCGCTTATTTTACTTAGCATTAAGTTCTCTCAGTCCATCAATGTTATCACAGATTTTAGGATTTCCTTCTTTTCTCAGGATGAATAATATTCCATTGTATGTATATGCCACACTTTCTTTATCCACTAATCTGTAATAAAGGCTATATCCAAAATACACAAGAAACCCTTCAAATTTCACAAGAAAGCAAACAATTCAGTTAAAAATGGGGAAACAATATAAATGGATAAGCCACCAAAGGAAATATAAAAATGGCAAATAAGTATTTGAAAATATATTCAACAGCATATGACTTTAGGGGGATAAAGCAATTCTATATATTGAAATTTCCTTTTAAAAAGAAAGCAAATAGAAAACTTTCTCAGAAAAACAAAATTTAAGTGATTGTCAGCTGACCTGTCTTGCAAGAAATACTAAAGGAAGTTCTTCAAGGGGAGAGAAAATGATGCAAGTGAGAAATTCATATACACAATAAAGAAATAAATGAAAAAGAATAAATTAAAGTTAAAAACTTTTTTTATTCTTATTGATCCATAAGATAACTGTTTAGTAACAAAAAATGGGTAATTATAGAATGAGGATAGATGAAATGAACAATAGCAATGTCATAAGGTACAGGAGGTACAATCTGGTGGTATTTTTATGAGATACCTACACTACATGTGAAGTAACAATTTTATTTGAAGATAGAACTAAAATGTATATAATCAATTCTAATTAATTTAAAGATAGACTTAAAATGCATATAATCAATTCTAAGAAAACCACTACAAGTTTTTAAAAGAAAAGTGATGAGATCACATCTCATGAGGTGATGAGACAAAAATGCAATCATAGAAGATGCTCAATTAAAATAAGAGGAGGCAGGTCAGGCACGGTGGCTCATGCCAGTAATCCCAGCACTTTGGGATGCCAAGGTGGGTGGACCACCTGAGGCCAGCCTGACCAACATGATGAAACACCATCTCTATTAAAAATATCAAAGTTAGCTGGGTGTTGTGGCACACATCTGTAATCCCAGCTACTCTGGGCTGAGGTGGGAGAGTCACTTTAACCTGGGATGTGGAGGTTGCAGTGTGCCAAGACCACCACTGCACTCCAGCCTGGTTGACAGAGTGAGGTTCTATCTCAAAATAAAATAAAATGAAATAAAAATAAATGAATATAATTAATGTTTATATTCTACTTCAACAAAAGTAGAATGCACATTCTTCTCTAGTTTGTACAAGACACACTGCATTATGGGCCATAAACGTCTTAAAATTTTTCAAAGAACAAAGTTCATACAAAGTACACACCGAGACCACAATAAAAATTAAAGTAGAAATAAATAGCAGGAAGAACTGAAAAATTTTTCAAATATTTGAAGACTTAACAAAACATCTAAGTGCATCCCAAAAGAAGACTAAAGAGTAATTAAAATATTTGGAATTAAATGGAAATGGAATCACAACTTATTAAAATATATGAGATACAGTAGAACTAGTACCTAAATTTATAGCATTAAATATATATTATTATGAAAAAAGAGATAAAATCAATAAGCTTCTGCCTTAAGAAACTAGAAAAAGAAAATCCAAAGTAAGTAACAAGGGAAAAAATATATAAAGTATAGCAGATATCAGTAAAATAGAAAGCAGGAAAACAATAGAGAAAATCAATGAAACAGAAAGCTGTTTCTTTGAAAAGATCCATAAACTTGCTAACATTTAGACAAACTAATAAAGAAAAAAAGAGAGAATGCACAACTTACAAATATTGGAAGTGAAAGAGGGGTATGGGTTATGACTACTGATTTTGTGGACATTAAAAGGATAATATATTTACTATATTAAAAACTCTATACTCACAAGTTCAATAGCCTATATAAAATGGACAAATACCTTGAAAGACACAATATGCCAATACTCACAAAAGAAAAAATAGATAGCATGAGTACTTTTATAGCTATAAAAGGAATTGAATAAATAGTTAATAACCTGCCCCCCCACCAATGGTTCCAGGCCCAAATGGCTTTAGTAGTGAATTCTATCAAGCATTTAAAGGAGAAATTATACCAATTTTCCACAGACTTTTCAAGAAAATGGAATTAGAGAGAACACTTCCTAACTTATTCTATGAGGTAAATATTACCCTCTTACCAAATCCAATAGACATAACATGAAATAAAATCAATACATCAGTATCTCTCATGAACAAAGATCCAATAATCCTTCACAAAATACTAGACAATTGAATCTAACTATGTATTTATTCTAGGTAAGACTGTATGCAAGACTGATTCAATATTGGAAAATTATCTGCAGAATTTCCTAAATCTGCAGGAAGAAAAATCATGTGACTGTATCAACTGATGTAGAAAAAGCTTATGGCAAAATCTATCACCCATCTATAATTTGAGAAACTCTCAGAAAACTAGGAATTGAGGTGAATTTTCTTAACTTGACAAAGAACATCTACCAAACCCCTAAAATTATCATACTTAATGATGAGAAATGGGATGCTTTTTCCCAAAAACCAGGAGCAAGAAGAATTTTGTTTTTTGTTTTTTTTCTTTCACCACTTGCAAAATGAAACCACCACTTTGGAAGACAGATGGACAATTTCTTATGCCCATAGTTGCTATACTATATGTAAAAAAAAAAGTCTTACATATAATATAGCAATTGTGGTTTTTTTGTTTGTTTTGAGATAGTCTTGCTCTGTCACCCAGGCTGGAGTGCAGTGGTGCAATAGAAGGATACTGCAACCTTCACCTCCTGGGTTCAAACAATTCTCCTGCCTTAGCCTCCAGAGTAGCTGGAACTACAGGCACCTACCACCATGCCTGGCTAATTTTTTTTTTTTTTATATTTTACTAGAGACAGTATAACCTGTTGATTTGGGAAATTTTACCATGTGGCCCAGGCTGGTGTCCAACTCCTGAGCTCAGGCAATGCGACCGCCTCAACCTCCCAAAGTGCTAGGATTACAGGCGTGAGCCACCGCGCCTGGCTGCAAATGTGTTTTTAGGTGTTTATCCACCTTATTTGAAAACTATGTCCACACCAAAACTGGCACATGAATATATATATAGCAGTTTGTTTATAATTCCCGAAACTGGAAGAAACCAAGAGGTCTCATAATTGATGACTGGAAAAAAAAAAAAACAGCACTGTGATACGTCTTATAAGGGAATATTACTTCCTAACAAAGTAAATGATCTGGCAAAAGATTCAGTGAGGAGGTTTAATAGGTGAAGCACGTGGGCATTATTTAGACCAGTCAAAGTATTCTGTATGATACCACAACTGTGGAAACATGAGAGTATGAAATTGCGTTTGTTTGTTTTTTTTGTTTTGTTTTGTTTTGTTTTGTTTTTTGAGACGGAGTCTGCTCTGTCACCCAGGCTGGAATGCACTGGCACGATCTCGGCTCACTAAAAGCTCCGCAACCCGGGTTCACGCCATTCTCCCGCCTCAACCTCCCAAGTAGCTGGGATTACAGGTGGCTGCCACCACGCCCGGCTAATTTTGTTTTTGTATTTTTAGTAGAGACGGGGTTTCACCATGTAGCCAGGATGGTCTCCATCTCCTGACCTCGTGATCTGCCCGCCTCAGCTTCCCAAAGTGCTGGAATTACAGGCGTGAGCCACCGCACCCGGCCTGCATTTGTTAAAAAACAAAGAATCTCACAGCACAAAGAGTGTCACTTAATATATGCAAATTTTAAAACAACAACAACAACAACAAAGTAGGTGTTCTGGGGATCCTGGGATGGAATGCAGAATGTCATAAAAAATCTGAAGTACTACAAATGTATAGAGCCACTTCACTCTAGGGAGTGGGAAAAACGTGCTGACATAAGCATCTTAGAAAATGGATGAGCCTTCCGTGGTGGCTCACACCTGTAATCCCAGCACTTTAGGAGGCCAAGGTGGCAGATCACCTGAGGCTGGGAGTTTGAGATCAGCCTGGCCAAAATGGTGAAACCCCGTCTCTACTAAAAACACAAAAATTAGCTGGGCATGATGGCAGGTGCCTGTAATCCCAGCTACTCAGGAGGCTGAGGCAGGAGAATCGCTTGAACCTGGGAGGTAAAGGTTGCAGTGAGCTGAGATCACGCCACTGCACTCCAGCCTCAGCCTGGGCAAGAAGAGCAAAACTCCATCTCAAAAAAAAAAAAAAAAAAAAAAAAAGAAAGAAACAAAGAAAATGCATGAAGACTGAAAGGAAGAGAAACTGCAAACAACTCACGTGATCTGTTTGGTATAGCTGTTTCCTACAGGAAATGGGATAGCGATTCTGAGATTGATAGAGAATAAATGTATATTGGAACTAGACAGTTAAGCAAACGGATGACAAATGACAGGAGCCTGGTTTCTCACTATTAAAGTGGGAGGTTACATGTAAGCAAGGGGAGAAGGCCGGAATGATCATGTGATAAAAGAATTGACATCAGTATGAACTAACACACACATTACATTTAGAAATATTTATAGTTATGTCTATACACAGCTTTGTATACACACATTTATTTCTTTGCTCTGTAAGCTAAGACAGTGTAGAACCAATGATATCCCAGTAGAAATGAGCATATCTAACACTCAAGTCTTCAATTCTTGGGTTTTTGTTCATGACCCGGGATCCAGGAGTTGGGCCCTGGGGCTGGGCATTGTGTAGCCTCCGGGATGGTGCTGAGCATCCATTCCCACTCTCCTGCAGCTGGAGACCCATCCCTTGACTTGCGCCCCCTGGAGGCAAGAACATGGTCACCCACTTTAATCACATGGTCCCTATCACATAACCAGAGGGCGCTGTGGGTTTTAACTCTTCAAGCTTGATGTGTAAAGAATTCGACATAGATATGATATAGTGACTAGAAGTCTTTTATTTATTTATTTTGAGAGAGAGAGTCTCTGTTGCCCAGGCTTGGAGTGCAGCAGCACAAACAAACAATAACCAAAATCCAGAAGACTGAAAAAGTCAAATGCTGTCAAGGATGTGGAGCAACAGGACCTTTCATTCCTTGTTTGTGGCACAATCAGTTTACTGTACCCAGGAACTCCCGGGTCCAAGTGATCCTCCCACAACCAATCTCCCAAGTAGCTGGGGCCACAGGCATGCACCACCATGCCTGGCTGACTGGTTTTATTTTTATAGAGATGAAGTTTCCCTGTGTTGTCTAAGCTGGTCTCAAACTCCTGGGATCAAATGATCGTCCTATCATCTCGGTCTCCCAAAGTGCTGTAAGTACAGGCATGAGGTCCTGCACCCAGCCTGGAAGTCTTTATAGATAAGTTCAATTTAACTGTTTCTCCATCTGCTCTACTCAGCCAAGTTTACCTCTCAGTCCAAGGGAGAGAACTGCAGCTCAGCCCCATCCAGGATGGCTGCAGATTACCCAGCGCCACCGCCATACTCCAGATGCTGGTCAACGAGGAAGGGATCCTGAGGCCTGGCAGCTGGCGCTCTCAGCAATCTTGAAGCCCTCTAAATGGGACCCGCCATCCGTGCCTGTCAGAACTGTAGCCACTACCTGCACTTGGCACACAGGCAAATATGGCCAAGCAACCCCAAACTCCCCTCTTCCCCTCTGGGCCCAGGCAGCGCTGAACCTGCCACTCAGCCCCATACTGGCGACTGCACAGTCCCCAGAGTCTGCAAACCAGCGCTCAGGGCGCGAGCCAAGGAAGAGCAGGGCCTAGAGTGGGAGGGCGTGTGCCACACGGCGACCCTCAGGCCGTCGGGCCCAGCCCTGCAGCCTCTACTGTGGGCTCAGCTGCAGCTGGCATTTGAAGGTGGCAGCAGCGGTGGCAACCCCAGAACCTGTCCATGCCATCAGCAGGCGAACCCCAGGGTCGGACACCGCCACTGCGCCTAAGTCAGGCAGTGGGACCTCAGTTGCAGGAGGGTGGGAACCTGCCGCAAAACCTCATGGCCACAGCTCTACAGGGCCCAGTGGTGGCGAACCTGCGCTGCCAGCGCGAGCCGAGGAAGAGCAGAGCCCTGGGTGGAAGGGCGATGTACTCGGCGATGCTCAGTGGTCTGGGCCCAGCCCTGTAGCCTCTACCATGGGCTCAGCTGCAGCTGCCACCTGAACATGGCACGTGGCAGCAGAGGCTGCAACCCCGACCCTGCCAGCGCCACCAGCAGCGTGGATACTTGGGCCAGAAGCCTCCAGGGCGCCTAAGTCAGGGGTTGGGTCCTGGCTGCAGGAGGGCGGGAACCGATGCTCAGCGCCACCCCAGAGGCTGCACGATGCCCGGCTCCAGGGCCCAGCTCCTGGATCTCAGGTTGAAGAGGGGCCAGGGGCGGCTCTGCCAAGCAGGCCATGTGGCAGGGAGTCCCCCACCTTCCGCTCCAGGGAGCCTCGCCAGCCTGACAGCGCCTCAGTGGCAGGTGCCACCTGCACGCGGTGCTGGGCGAAGCGCAGTCAGGGCCGTTTCCCGCCTCGCATGTCTCCCCGGTCTGCTGAGTTGCGCATGCGCTGTTTCCTAATGGTTCTGCTCAGCTGCCTAATGGTTTTGCACAGCCCTTTTCTCCCAGGTGAGGCTGGAGTGTCCAAAAGCTTGGCCCGACTGAGATTTCTACTGGTGTCAGGGCGGGTGCGGGGACTGAAGAAGGGCAAGGGCGAGCGGCGGGGACTGGGAAAGGGCGAGCAGCGGGAGGTGCGGGCGCTCTCTAGCAGGTGGCTGCAGCCATGGAGAGGCTCTCTGCCGCCGCTGTCAAGGGCCAGACGGGCCTGGAGTGCCCGAGCCCCTTCAGTCAGCTGGTCTACACCAATAATGACTCTTAAGTGATTCACCATGGGGATCTCAGGAAGATCCACAAAGCTGCCTCCCGGGGCCAAGCCTGGAAGCTGGAGAGGATGATGAAGAAAACGACAATGGACCCGAACATAAGAGATGCGAAGAAGAGGTACCAGACAGTGCCTGAGCCGGGGCTGCAGGAGGAGGAGGCGGCTGTGGGAGGATCGCCCATTCAGAGTGGGGGCTGGGGGTCCTGGGGACGAGGGGAGCAGGTGGAGGAGTGGCGGGCAGCGGGGCGGCCGTCCTGAGCCCCGAGGTCTTGACCTTCTTCCCGGGCAGGCCCCCCAGGCCTTGGATGGGGGCGCCCTGCAGGGCGGAGGGCCCAGGCCACCTTAAAATCAACCCCAAACTTTAGTTAGCTGCTTTCTCCTTCACTCCCACTTCCTCTCACAGAGCACTGTGTAGAGTATTTTAAAGTGATTTAACTTACAAATTTAAGTACATACAGGGTTTTACTTTTAATGTACAGGTTTTAAAAGATAATGTTAGATACATTATGAAATGGTGCGTAATGAAATAATTCCCATAATATATTAACTTCTTGGCTAAAAATTTTTTGGATAAAGTCCAGTATCCATTTCAATATCAATGAATGCCTACGTAAATATGTTCTTTGCTGAGGGACCTTAGAAGGTAACTTTGAGGTGGGAAGATGGTTTATGTTTTCGAATTTAAGAAGACTCATTTTTCTCAAGATGCAAGCTCTTCATCAGTTTTACATAAACCAAACAAAGTTATCAACATTTTAACATTTTTAAAATTACACACGCTGTCTTTTACTATTGTGATGACATTTAAAAAATTTTGTAACGGAGTAGAAAAGTCTTGCCCTTCTAGATTTCAAAATGTGCTATTAATTTGCACAAAATGGGCCACGGCCAGGCGCGGTGGATCATGCCTCTAATCCGAGCACTTTGGGAGGCCGAGGTGGGTGGATCACGAGGTCAGGAGATGGAGACCATCCTGGCTAACACAGCCTCTACTAAAAATACAAAAAATTAGCCGGGTGTGGTAGTGGGCGCTGTAGTCCCAGCTACTTGGGAGGCTGAGGCACGAGAAAGGTGTGAACCCGGGAGGTGGAGCTTGGAGTGACCCGAGATCGCACCACTGCACTCCAGCCTGGGTGACAGAGCGAGACTCTGTTTCAAAATAATCATAATAAATAAATAAATAAATAAATAAATAAAATAAATAAAATTTGAAAAAAAAAAAAGCCAGGCGTGGTAGCTCATGCCTGTAGTCCCAGCATTTCGGGCGGCCAAAGCGGGTGGATCACCTGAGGTCAGGAGTTCAAGACTAGCCTGGCCAATATGGTGAAACCCCGACTCTACAAAAATACAAAAATTAGCCAGGCACAATGTCGGGAGCCTGTAATCCCATCTACTCGGGAGACTGAGGAGGGAGAATCCCTTGAAACTGGGAGGTGGAGGTTGCAGTGAGCTGAGATTCCATCACTGCACTCCAGCCTGGGCGACAGAGTGAGACTCTGTCTCAAAAATAAATAAATAAATCACAAATTATTTGATAACAGCTGAAAAGACAGGTAAATGAATACAACAGAATAGAAAATCCAGAAACACCCAAATATCTAAGAATTTAGAACTTTATACTAGTAGGGAAAGAATTAGTTTCATAAGCGAAATGCCTACTTTTTGGAGAAAACTAGATTTTTATACCACAAGGTAAATTTCTGACGGAATACAGATTAAATTTTTTTAATATACAAAATGATAAAAGCACCAGAAGAAAATATAAATGCCGATTTACACAGGTACATTTTTATGTTGACAACACCTTTCTAAGAAGCTCAGAAGCAAGCAATCTGAAGGACAATTAAGCAAAACAAAATTAAATTAACCTGTAATGAGAAAAAATAAAAGGCAGCATACTTGTAAAATGTTTACTGCACATGTATGTGCGTGTGTATATATATATTAGATTTAAAAATCGTCATTTTATAGATAATTCACTTAAATCAACAAAAAACCCTCTAATTTAAAATTGAGCAATTCAAATTAGAGATCTAAATTGCAGATCTAAAAATAGTACTTCGCTTCTAATTTAAAATTGGGAAAGTATTTTCTTAAGATCTGTAAGTGACCTATGCACATAGAAAACAATATTTAGCTTTCCTGGTTAGAGAAGGTATTTAAGTTAAAAGAGGAATCAAATACTGTTTTCTATCTACAAAATTTGTGAGGAAAAAGAGCAGTGATATTTATAATGCTATTTAAAGTTTAAGTTGCAGATAACTTTTCAAGTAGACAATTTGGTGGTAAGTACCATATTATTAAGAAGAATCCACATAATGGCTTTTATAAATACACTTCAGTGAATTTACAGCATGGGATAATATGTGACCACTGAAGGTAGAAATATGTAGAGAAGTAGGTGACATTTGAAAATATATTTTGGTGTATCAAGTGAGGGTAAAGTTCAGTTTGATTATACATACACACAGACTACAGTCTTGTGTTATCTGAAATTGTGTATGAAATACGATAAAATTTGTTATTTGAGGGCATTGGTTTTAATATAAAATGTTTTTCCTTTTTATTATCTTTGATTTCCACATTGAGCATGTACAATGCTATTAGAAAAAGTTTATTATTAAAGAAATAATTTTTAAGAAGAGCAAGAATATAATTTTGCAGCAGTAAAAATTATTTCTCACCTTCCATATTTTAATTATTATTTTTTGTGGATTAGTATATTCTGTGAACTTTTAGCATCTTCAAAAGACAATCTTTTTACCTGTGCTTGTTGATTTACATATACATCTTATTAGGCATATATTTTTATTATATATAGATTTATTACATATATGTCAATAATTATAGATTAGTGTACTTTTATTATTAAGAAAACAAAATAGAAAATATAAGTGTTTTATAGCAGTTTTTTTAAGGTATTGAACTTCTCAACTGTATTTATCCTTTTAATCAGTTTATCACATGTAAGCTGAATGCCTATTATGTATAAGATACATTAACTCTCAAGATCCTTTCATCCTTAAAAATTTTACATTTACCTGCTCAGCCTTAGCAAAGTGAGAGATTTAAAGTTGGAGTACTGGGACTGAATCTCAATTGAAGCTTTTCCTCTCTTCTTTAAAACAAAAACACTTCTGAAGTGAGAAACTAGTAAAAGATAACTACCAACCACGATTTCAGAATTTTATAACAGCTTTAAATAGTAATATTAATCATTGGAAATACCTAATTTACATGCAGTCTATAAATTTAAATATGAATTTACATACATTCTGTAAATCTAAATATGGAATAAAATGAGCCATACCTACTTGAATCCCAAGTTTTCTTTGGCTTGAAGTTTTAAAAATATTGAAGAAGTACTTTGTTTTAACAGTTTGTTTTTATTTCAACTCCCCTTTTGTGTAGCACTCTTAAAAGCTAAAATTTCTTTAAGTGTTAATCCTATGACTAGGACTGCCATCATCCTGTTTTATATACTGCATTCCACTTCATGGAAGGCATCATGAATTGTGTGATGCCTCCTTATTTATGTACCAATAAAAGATTCTTTAAATTTCTGCAAAATGTACTTGTAATAAATAATGACTTATAAGTGGCATTTCAATGTCAGAGATGTTAAAATATGAGAAATAGAGTATCTTAGAATTATTAAAATACAGTTTTATCTCTAACCTTTAAAACATATCACAACGTAGGCATAACTGTACCATTTTACTTAAAATGTTTTCTTTGTTAAGTAGTAGAAATAATTACAATATCTAACAATTACTGAGCTGTTACATGTGCTAGGAATTCTTTGAAATACATTGCACAGATTCTCATGAGGCATCACAGTGATGTCCTGTGAGATAACTGCTGTATTCATCTTCACTTTATTGATGAGAAAATTGAGGCACAGAAAGGTTAAGTGATAGCTAGAAGGTGAAAGACTTTAAAGTAATATTCAAGCTCAAGTTGAACTGAATCCAAAGGCCAAGCTCTTTCTATTCAAATAGGCCACTCTTTCATTAATGTAGTGAGTAAGAAGAGTGAATGAATGTTGTTCTTTCTTCAGGAGAATATTAAATATTTGTTTTGAAGGCAGAGAAAGAGAATGGTATTTAATGTTGACAATTACATAAATCATTATATGCTTTGAGACAGTGGACTAAACTTTCCTAAAAAGTCCTCTCACTCTCGTAGGACTGCACTACACTGGGCCTGTGCCAATGGCCATGCAGAAGTAGTAACACTTCTGGTAGATAGAAAGTGCCAGCTTGACGTCCTTGATGGTGAAAACGGGACACCTCTGATGAAGGAAAATGGTAGCCAGTTCTTTCAGCAGGAGATGGATTTGGTTTAAATACATAGAATAAAAATGAATGTATCTCATTGAAATATAACTAGTTTGTGAAACCTGTGGAATATTTATTTATATTTCCTATAATTTATAATTTACTTCTTGCTTTAATACTGACAGGCTGTGCAATGCCAGAGGGAAGTTTGTGCAAATATTCTCATAGATTCTGGTGCTGATCCAAATATTGTAGATGTGTATGTCAACACAGCTGTCCATTATGCTGTTTATGGTGAGAATTTGTCAGTGGTGGCAAAATTGCTGTCCTGTGGTGCAGACATCAAAGTGAAGAACAAGGTAGAAGTTAACCAATGTTATTTTCAAAATATTTGAAATTCATTTGTTTTAACATTAACATATGTAAATTGTTTTATATTTGGAAGCTCAAACATTCCTATTTTTCTATGAAAATAGTTTGACAAAACTTAATTGTCTAGGATTTTGCTTTAAATATTATTATTTTTACAAGAACTATTAGTATGGCTTTTCTGTGCATTATGATAAATATTTGAGTTTGTTAAAGGTAAAATTTTTCAAATATTCTTTCCCACCTGTTTTTTTTTTCTTTCCTGTTAGCATAAAACTACAGGAAAGTAAAATTTGCCTGCATAAATTGAGTCAACATGTAAAATTTAGGAGACATGCAGAAATCTGGATTTCCTCTTAAAGGATTGAATCTGGTGTCTCTTGAGCCTGTATGACTGTTTGGTATGCTATGAAGACATTCTAACTTTACATAAAGCATATGTTTCCAGTTTGCTACTGTGTCCACCTAGTTACATCACTTATTCAACTTACCTCTTTTGCCTCTGTAAATATTTCAGTTATCAATTCCTCTCTCATAGTATATTTTGATAAAGATTTCAAGTTATTGAAGACAGTTTACAGGTGTTTATAATATATAGTTTATATTTTACATTAATTCATTAGTAATGGGGTTGTCTTCTAGAATTTAGAATATTTTTTAAATGATGATTTTTCTTCATATAAACCATAAATAATCATTTTCTATTAGAAGGCCTTTAAGCTTTTTTAGATTAATCATGTTTATATTTGAATAGGTTATGCAAATTGCAGAAAATATTATATCTTTCTCCACAGAATTGTCCCTTAAAATTCAAGCGATTTAGTGGCTTCTATTTTGCTAATCCATATACATGAGTTAGAACTTTCATTAATAAGCCATTTTATTCATACTTCTGATATTTTCCCAAAAAATAGTATCAATTACAATAGAAACCGGAATAAAAATGGATTATTGCATTTTAAGAAGTGGATATGCATTAGGATCCTAGGAGTATCATTATAATTGAGAATAAACTTTTATACTGAATTGCTTTTCTTTTTTTCTTTTTTTTTCTTTTTGAGACGGAGCCTCGCTCTGTCACCAGGCTGGAGTGCAGTGGTGTGATCTTGGCTCACTGCAACCTCTGCCTCCCTGGTTCAAGCGATTGTCCTGTCTCAGCCTCCTGAGTAGCTGGGACGCAGGCATGTGCCACCATGCTCGGCTAAATTTTTTGTATTTTTAGCAGAGATGGGGTTTCACCATGTTGACCAGGATGGTCTCGATCTCCTGACCTTGTGATCTGCCCACCTTGGCCTCGCAAAGTGCTGGGATTAAAGGCATGAACCACCTCACCTGGTCTTTTATACTGAATTTCTAATAGCTTAGATAAAATCCTATTTTCTGGTAATAGGATAAACCCCATGGACCATTTAATAATAAACAATCAAAGTTTATTTGAAGCCAATCTCTTTTAATTTAGAGCCACTTCCTTAGTGACCCATTTAGAGCAGGAGTGCCTGACATTGTCATCTGGAATCTTGGGATCATTGAGAGAAGAGAATCAAGTAAGTTTGTATCACCCAGAGGAAACCTCCATTTTTGGGGGGAAGCTTTCAAAACTGCATCCCTGAAATTCTAATTTGTCAAATGTTAATGTTTGCCACAAAAATATACTGTCAAATAAGGATTAGGTAAAGTTCAATTCATTTCTTGAATAATGAACATTTAATTCACAGTTTTATAACATTTCTTGAAAATAGATAATGGTGGAATCTGTTGGGGTACAATGATTCTGGTAAGGTAATTATTCTTTGGAATATAGTTGAAGAAACACTGTTCTAGAGGTAATAATTTAGATTACTAATTTAGTAAAAAACAAAGTATTTACTACTATGTCTTAGGGTTTAAGGATATAAAGGTAAAAGATATAGCCCCTGCCCTCAAGAAGCTCCTGGTTTAAATGGGAAACAATAAAATCATTACAATATAATGATTTTTGGAGATAACCGGAGTTAATGTGGTGATGCAGAGGCTGAATGTTTACAAGAGAAGGTGCAGTGCATGGGAAAGCACAGAAAAGTGAGAAAGAAGGGATTGCTATTGATTTACTTTCCATTGTTTAAGTTCATAGGATATTATATAAGGTATTCAGTTCAGCTGAGAAATATGTAATTTCATGAATTATAAATGGTTTTTGCTGTTTTACAGGCTGGCCACACACCACTTTTACTGGCCATAAGGAAAAGAAGTGAGCAAATTGTGGAATTTTTACTGACAAAAAATGCAAATGCAAATGCAAATTCAGTTGATAAGTTTAAATGGTATAGTAGTTTTTTTTATTAAAAAACACTTGAGTAGTGTGCTAGAGTAATAACACTCGTCAGAAATATTAAATTAATAACATTTACTTAAAATTATTAGATTATACAGAAAAATACCAACACAAATTATCAGTTAGGAAGAAAAGCAATTATTTGGACTGGTCAACATAAAGAACAGTATATAGTAGGATTTTCTTCTTTTGTTATATTGACTGATTCTTATTTGTAATCTGATGTTTTTGGTTGCATTATCTTCTATTAGCTAAAGTGGTTCTGTATTAGTTTTAAGAAGTATGAATTTTTAGTTTACTTTATAATTCAATATTGAATGATTAACACCTTTATAGTATTTTTCTAACTTCTGTTTTTCATACACTTTTTAAAAATGCAATATTTGCTGGGCATGATAGCTGTCATCTGTTATCCCAGCACTTTGGGAGGCCAAGTGGGTAGATCACCTGAGGCCAGGAATTTGAGACCAGCCTAGCCAACATGGTAAAACCCCATCTCTATGAAAAATATAAAAATTAGCCAAGCATGGTGGCACATGCCTATAGTCCCAGCTACTCAGGACAAATATTATTCCTAATATTGTTTTAAGTCTTCAGATTGCTCTCACTTGTCCGACTTCTAGCTAATTTTGAAGTACAAAATATTATATCAAACTAAGGAGGAAATAGATAATTCTCCACTTAAAACTTTGCCTCTTTTAGATTAGTGAACAGAACATATTTTCTTGCCCCTCAGTGGACTTTATGTTAGCCAATTCTACTATGCCATATCCCAGTGAGACATGAGTATTTTCACCCCTTCCTTTTAGCCTTGGTCGTGATTTACAAGGATAAACACTTGAGCACTCAAGATACTTAACATTTGTTAATACATGTAAATGGTTAATTCTACACTGACAGGCACATATTAAATTGGTTCTGTTCCTAATAATGAAGTTATCTCTTTGTTATTTTAGCACAGCCCTCATGCTTGCCATATGTCATGGATCATCAGAGATAGTTGGCATGGTTCTTCAGCAAAATGTTGACATCTGTGCTGTAGATACGTGTGGAATGATTGCAGAACGTTATGCTGTTGCTTGTGGATTTAATCTGTAAGTGTTTACATTTAAAGGTTAGGTGAGATTTTATAGTTTGTTTCAGGTAGTTTTTGAATGACAGTGAGTTAGTTCACTTCATCAGCCAGAAACTAGGCAAAAAGCTAGACTATTTAGAAGGAGTAATGGCTCCAGGATTCTTTGTTTTAGGGCTTTAGGGATGCAAATGTTGTCTACTTGATTTGAAGTATAACCCCTATGCATGGGATAAACATAAAGTCACAATTTTGGTTTTCCTAATTAGTTATTTGGGTCTCAAAATGTCCACTTTAAGCAGAAAACCTGATAGTGTCCCCAGGGGGCTGTCTTCCATACCTTCATTCTTGAATTTTTTAAAAGAAACTGAACCTAAGTCCAAGGAAGACATTCCTTTTGTACAAGTCAGAAGGATTGGGGGGGAAATGCCCATTCTCTTCATTTTGTTGTTTCCATTGATTCTGTTGCTGCATCGTTGCCATTGAAACTGCTCCTGCAGTCTGGTAATGATTGACTTTTGTGACCAGGATGCCCTTATTAACACAGATCCCTCAGTCTTCATGGTGTAGACTTTGAAGTTACTACATGTTTTTAAAATTCACGTACATATTCTTAGCCATTGTTTCCAAAGTACCAGCACCCTACTCTGGCAGCTAGAACTTTTAGCTTTAGCCACACACATAGTGAGCAAATTGACCCTTCTCCTCACACCCAAAACCTGATGTGAAACCCACATCTTAGCCTGGGCATGGCCTAGACCTTCATGGTAAGTTATCCTTTGAGTGGCTTTTTTCTATTTTCTCTAGCCAATATTAGTTGTGGTAGTTTGAAACTGTAAGTCAGGTTGAAATAATGTTACAGGAAGAAATTAGAGATCCATTTTGTCTTTGTTAACAGATTTATATCCCTGGCCCTTTATATCCTGTGTAGCACCATTTTGTAGGTAGTGGAAAGTCTCACCTTATTCTGTAAAATCCCATGTCATCTTTCCCAAGTTGTAGTGGGTTCCAACTTGTGGTTGTCCCCTCAAGTGATTCTTTTTTCCTAAAAGTAAAAATCTCCCATGCTACTTACATCTCTACCTCGAGATTTTAAAATATTTTCAAATGCTGCATCACCATGAAGCCATTCAATAGACTTCACTAAATCTCAAGTAAGTTGGTTAGATTTAACAGAGCTAAGCCTCATCCATCACTGATCAGTCTTCACGTATAAAAATAAGGATTTGTGCTGGCTTCAGTGGTACATATAGTAAAATTGAAACAACGTTGAGAAGATCAGCACGGTCCCCACACAAGGATGACATAGAAATCTGTAAAGTGTTGCATATTTCTTACAGTCCCCAAAAGGACATTTTACTACTTTCTAACTAGCTCCAAGGAAACGGTGTGAGTCAAAGCAAAATGGGTGACACCCAGTATTGCAATTGTGATTTTCATACAAAAAATTATTTATGTAAGGTGGTCTATGAAATGAGATGTGGTAACCCATAGGATCTTGTGTGCAATATTTTGTTAGTAGGGATCTCTGAAATGAGAAAATACCAACTTGCATCTTCTTTGTGGAACTTACAAAAAATGAAGGTAGGGTTTTGTCTTCCACAGCAGCTGGAAATGAACATAGTGACTAAGCGTCATTCTAACAAAGATTTGTTGGTTCAGAATTTAAGGAGGTAGATTAAGAGTAGTAGTATTCCAAGCCAGATGCTGACATCTATTAGTTTTCTGCCCTTGGTGTGACTGATGAGCTCAGTAATAGAGTATAATTAGGTTATCTGATTTAATGATTTAATATATGTATAAATAAATTTCATTACAAAATATAAAATAGCTTAGATGCTCTGAATTACAAGCCACATAGAATAGAACATCTAATATCCAAAAGTAGGAATTAATAACAGGAAATTGCAATATTTGAATATTATAACCTATGAAGAAACACATTTTTTTTTGTAATTTAATTTTTGTAAAGATATGGCCTCCCTACGTTGCCCAGGCTGGTCTTGAACTTCTGGACTCAAGCAATCCTCCTGTCTCAGCATCCCAAAGTGCTTACATCACAAGCATGAGCCACTGCACCAGGCCAATACATTGGGTTTTTTGGGAATTTTAAAATAGTTTCAGCAATAATGTTCAAGAACAAATTATTTTTTTGCTTCACTTTTTATTTTAAGCATTTTTAAAATGTTATCTTGTTAAATCTTTATAATAACATAGTGAAATAAGGCCCTAAAATCCTCATCGTTAGAAGACATTGAGTCTAAGAGAAGCAAATTGTTCAAGAAAAAATACCTGTTGGTAGCCATGCTAGGACTTATTCTGAGGTAAGGATATTTTCCATATATCAAGCTACCTCTGGTTAATTTACTGAGTTATACTGCCCTCACTTCATGAGTGTTTTATCTTTCTTTCTTCTTTAATTAGAAGCTTAATAAGTTCATAGAGCTTACAAACTTAAAGACTATGGAAAAAGTAATGTTCTGATGTTAGCTCTAATGTTGTCTGAAATACCCTAAGAACTTAATAAATTTGGTAAATGTTTTTTATATCAATGTTAAAATAGTAATTTTATTTATTTCATTTTTATACAAGGCATTCATCAACAACTTTTGGAATACAAACAAAAGATATCTAAAAATTCTCAAAATAACAATCCAGGTAAGACATCTGATAGTAAACTACTCTTGGTGGTGCTACCATGAGATTATAGGAGTGTTGATCACAAAAGAGCTATTAAAAAAGCAATGTGTAAGTAGCATGTGTTTACATATATATCTATATGTAAGTGTTTTTATATATACATAGCTTTGATTTAATTTTTTAGTTTATAATTCAGAATTCATTAAGAATTTAGTTGTAGGTGGTTTATAATCTCAAAAATATTATCTGAAAAGATATTTGTTTAATTGTGGTCCCTAATATCCTATATAATACTTTTGTATAAATAAGTAAAACAATTTTTAAGTTTATATATTGTATGTTTTCTCAACTGTCATAACAATTTATGCTTGTTATAAAATGTAGAATCCTTGGTGTGATTGATGAACTCAGTAATAGGGGATTATCAGCTTATCAAATTTAATGAATTAATATATTTATAAATAAACTTTATTACAAATTATAAAATAGCTTAGATGCCTTGAATTACAAGCCACAAATAATAGAACATCTAATAATGAAAAGTAGGAATTAATAACAGAAAACTGCAACATTTGAATATTATAAACTATAAAGGAACACAGTTAAATAAACTGTTAAATAAACAAATATTTATGTTTGTTTATTAAACATAAACAAACATATAAAATGTTTATTTGTTAAATAAAAAAATAATTTATTTTTTTGTTTGTTTCTTTATTGTAGAGACAAGGTCTCCTTATGTTGCCCAGGATGGTCTTGAACTTCGGGGATTTATTTAATTTTTACAATAAATGATTTGCATTTAGAAAATTAGAATTAATTACAGTTGAGTCTTGAGCAAGATGAGAATTAGGGTGCTCATCCCCCCATGCAACTGAAAATCTGCTTTATATGAAAATCGGTTTCTTTTGACTCCTCCAAAACTCTACTAATTGTCTACTGTTGACCTGGAGCCTGAAAAAAGGTGAAAGCAGAAGCAGTCAATTAACCCATAATTTCTATTTTATATGTACTATATACTGTATTCTTAGAATAAAGTGAGCTGGAGAAAAGAAACTGTTATAAAGAGGAAGAAATATGTTCACTATTTATAAGATGGAAGTGAATTATACATAAAGGACTTCATTCTCATTGCCTTCACATTGAGTAGGCTGATAAGGAGGAGGCAGAGGAGAGATTTGTCTTGGTATCTTGCAGTGGCAAAGGAAAAGAAAAATCTGTCTATTAGTGGGCTCCTAGAGTGAAAACCCTTATTCAAAGATCAACTGTGTGGCATAGTGACTTGTGTCACTAAAAAAGTAACTCTCTTTAGAATTTGGAACTCAATAATACTTTTCTTGAACCATAAATGAATGTCAATAAGAATTAACATAACTTAACGAGGGTGCATCAGTACCAATAGGAGATTATTTTTCAAAGATACCTACCGAGTGCAGAAGTCAGAAAAGCAATTCTTTGTTGAGAAGTGCAGGTTATGTTACATAGTCTTGTACCAACAAGGTCTCACTATTATCTACTTCATTCCCTCTAAGTTGAAACCAAATAAGATATATTTACTTCATTAGAACAAGATATGTTGTTCTATCTGCTGGATAATTAGTGTGTTAATAGTAATTTTGTTACAACAAGTTACTCTGTTCCTACTAGCCAAAATATTATCATTATAAATATCCAACTAGCTCAATTCTAGGCTCAACAAATTATAATAAAAGTGGAAAAAGTTTTCACAATAACAAAAGTGCTACTGTGATACCTAAATGTGACACAATACATTGTACAATATGAACTGTATTAGTACTTCTTTAATTTATTACATATTTATCAAAGGACTTCTATAAGTTAGATTTTGCAAGATGCAGGAGACCAAGATGGAATACACATAGTCTGGGTCTTTAAGGTGCTCATAATACATTAGAGCTGTCTCTATTGAATTTCTGCATTTTTCCAACAGAATTTCCTAACTATGTTTTTTATTTGTTTATCCACTTGTCCACTTAACAAATAACTGTCAGGTATCTTTAGGGTACTAAGCATCTTTCTTGTTATTATCATTGTCATTTTTTATTATTTACTACTTTATTAAGGTACTAAGCATTTTTCTTGTTATTATCATCTTTTTTATTATTTACTACTTTATTTAGTGCTTACTCTGTGCCAGAACCCCTTTGGGAGCTTATAATTATCACTTATTATGTCATTACCATATTCAGTATGTGTCAGACATTTTATATCCAACGTGAAGAATTAAAGCTTTAAAAAGTTTGATAGTGTCCAGGAGCGGTGGCTCACTCCTGTAATCCTAGCACTTTGGAAGACCAAGGCAGACAGATTGCTTGAGCTCAGGGGTTTGGGACCACCCTGCCTAACATGGTGAAATCCCACCTCTACTAAATACAAAAAATTAGCTGGGCCTGGGTGGCATGCATATGTAATCCCAGCTACATGGGAGGCTGAGGTAGGAGAATTTCATGAACCCAGGAGGCGGAGGTTGCAGTGATCTGCTGAGATCGTGCCACTGCACTCCAGCCTGGGTGACAGAGCAAGGCTCTTGTTTCAAAAAAAAAAAATAAGGAGAAAACAAAAGTTTGGTAGTATTTAAGGAAAGCAAGCTGAATGAGTAGAAGTTTTCCAAGTTAAGAGTCAGAAGGATGATATTTAGCCAAAGGAAAATTTAACCAGACTGTGTGTTTGGCAGAAGGAACATCTGAAGGAACACCTGACGAGGCTGCACCCTTGACAGAAAGAACACCTGACATGGCTGAAAGCTTGGTGGAAAGAACACCTGACGAATAGGATACAGTGAATTCATCTTCAAAGATTTTAGCCTGTAAAAATCCTTTAAAATTCAAGAGGGGGAAGATTAAGTACAGTGAGTTCTGAGTTCCTCATCAAAAAAAAAATATGTCAGTATGTCCAGCTTCTCTGTTCTTTTTTCTCCGTTTTAAAGTTTAACTTCCTCGTTCGTTATGCCTCCTTGCCCCTAGTTTCATTAAACAACCCCCTCCTAGCCTCTAACCCCTGCTTTGTCTTTAGTCATTCTTAGTCACCTGCTCTGTCCTTAGTCATCCTTAGACACCTGCTCTGTAACTGGCTTTCCCGCTGAAACTACTCACCCTGCCACTCCAGCTTATACCCCTACTCTCTTTGAAATAGCCAATCTGAATTAGCTTAGAGTGTGCAGTCCAACCCTATCCAATAGGGAAAAGACACAACAGTAGGGACTAGCTGTGTTAGGAATAAGAACACTTTCCCCTCCCTTGTCCGGTGTGATCTTGCCATTGCTCCATCTGCAAGACCACTCTTCCATAGAAGTAATTTTGCCTTGCTGTAAAAACTTGTGGCTGGAGTGCTGACTGTTCTTTGTGGCACCAAAAATTTATTTTCCACAAATTTGGGGGCCCACCCAGCATTCCCATTCTCCTCTGGGGGAGGGTCCAGTCCTCTCCCATGAGGAGGCGCACCCCGCTGCCTTGTTGCAGTGGCCATAAAGGTAAGGAATCAAGACTCAACTGGTGCGATTAATAAACCTGGGCTCTCAGCAACGTGGAAAGAAACAGGCCAGCATCTTTGGGGAAAGGATCTTCACATGCCGTGGTGACCAGGTAACTGTGCATAGACTGAGGTAAGAAATGTCACAGGGGTGACAAAGTATTTCCTTGGTGGTCGGGATATTCTGGAGGTTGAAAGTATGTGTGAATGATCACAAGCACTACTGCTTGTGGTGCTGTTTGTGTGGATGATACTAAGCATTACTGCTGTGAGGAGTGAGTGGGTCCTATCTGCGGTTTTTTATTTGAATAAAAAACCTTTGAAGAGGAATTCACTGTATCCTCACAGGGCTCAGGGCAGATCCTGCTGTGGGTTTTATACCATGGTGCCAATGCTAAGAGGGACCTAAAATTCCTGGGAGGGAAGCAACCAGAGTGGATGAAGCAAAAGAAGGGGGCAAGGAGCCTCCAGTAGGTGGGGTTAAAAGATAGGGAAGAAATCTCTAGCATGTGGGATTGAGCCTAACCAGGACCTAACATGGGAAAAGCCCCAAGTAAAACAGGGAGCAAAAAAGAAGAGGATAGTAACAAAGACATGCCCCCTGATAGTCCCCTGGGTCTCATGTTAAAATATTGGAAGGATAATGAGAGGAGTAAACATAAGAAAAAGCATCAGAAGATAAAATATTGCTGTTTCATTTGGACCCAATGTCCCATTTTCAAACCCTCAATCTTCTGGCCAAAGTTTGGGTCGAATGAGGATGTAATGTGTCAACTTCTAATTCAATATGTTAATGTTAAAAATCTGGTTTCTCAAGAAGAACTAGACTATGCTCTTTGTTGGAGACAGGGACCTGTCTTTATTCCCTTAAAGACAACTAGGGAAGAACCCGATCCAGCATCTCAAATTGAAAAGTCAGACGAGCTGACTCCCACACCTAAAGCCAGCACATGGGATCCCCTATACCATTTTGCCCTGCTCAGTGCCTCTGACCCTTCCTCTTGGGCAGCTGCTGCCACCCCAGATCCCACCCCAGATCCTTCTCCTGCTCATGATGTTCCTCCTCCTTACAACTCTAATTCTTGGGAGTTATCATCCCATGAGCCTGTCCCCTGTCAACCTAAATACCTCTCCTTAAAGGGACTCCAGCATGAGGTACAGCAATGTAAATAGGACATTCAGAACTTCCCTTTTCTCTCCACACCTAAGGAGTCAGCCCCAACTCTCTTCCCCTTAAAAGACATGCCACAAGGAGGAGGAGCCATTGTATTTGTGAAGGCTCCCTTGACCAGTTCAGAAGCCTGAAGTTTGAAAAAGGAAATTAAGCCATTGTTAGATGAACCTTATGAGGTAGCAAATCAGGTTGATCAATTCTTGGGACCTCAGTTATACACTTGGGTCGAGTTTATGTCCATCCTAGGCATCCTCTTTTCGGAGGAGGAAAGAAGCATGATCTGATCCATAGGGCTGCTATGGCAGTTTGGGAATATGAACACCCTCCTTGTCAAAACGTTCCTACCACAGACCAAAAATTCCCTGCCGAAGATCCCCAGTGGGATAATGATAACGCAGCTCACCAAGAAAACATGCAAGACATAAGGGAAATGATAATGAAAGAAACTAGGGAATCAGTACCCCAAACTCAAAATCTCTCTAAAGCATTTGATATACAACAGGAGAGAGATGAGTGGACTGTGAAATTATTAGACAGACTAAAGGAGCAGATGAGACAATATGCAGGCCTAAATTTGGAACGTCCCCTGGGACAGGGAAGGTTAAAACTCCATTTTGACACTAAAAGTTGTCCAGATCTAAATGCTCCAATTAAAAGACACAGACTGGCAAATTGGATAAAGAGTGAAGACCCATCAGTGTGCTGTATTCAGGAAACCCATCTCACGTGCAGAGACACATATAGGCTCAAAATAAAAGGATGGAGGAAGATCTACCAAGAAAATGGAAAACAAAAAAAGGCAGGGGTTGCAATCCTAGTCTCTGATAAAACAGACTTTAAACCAACAAAGATCAAAAGAGACAAAGAAGGCCATTACATAATGGTCAAGGGATCAATTCAACAAGAAGAGCTAACTACCCTAAATATATATGCACCCAATACAGGAGCACCCAGATTCATAAAGCAAGTCCTGAGTGACCTACAAAGAGACTTAGACTCCCACACATTAATAATGGGAGACTTTAACACCCCACTGTCAACATTAGACAGATCAACAAGACAGAAAGTCAACAAGGATACACAGGAATTGAACTCAGCTCTGCACCAAGCGGACCTAATAGACATCTACAGAACTCTCCACCTCAAATCAACAGAATATACATTTTTTTCAGCACCACACCACAACTATTCCAAAATTGGCCACATAGTTGGAAGTAAAGCTCTCCGCAGCAAATGTAAAAGAACAGAAATTATAACAAACTATCTCTCAGACCGCAGTGCAACCAAACTAGAACTCAGGATTAAAAGTCTCACTCAAAACCTCTCAACTACATGGAAACTGAACAACCTGCTCCTGAATGACTACTGGGTACATAATGAAATGAAGGCAGAAATAAAGATGTTCTTTGAAACCAATGAGAACAAAGACAAAATATACCAGAATCTCTGGGACACATTCAAAGCAGTGTGTAGAGGGAAATTTATAGCACTAAATGCCCACAAGAGAAAGCAGGAAAGATCCAAGATTGAAACCCTAACATCACAATTAAAAGAACTAGAAAAGCAAGAGCAAACACATTCAAAAGCTAGCAGAAGGCAAGAAATAACTAAAATCAGAGCAGAACTGAAGGAAATAGAGACACAAAAAACCCTTCAAAAAATTAATGAATCCAGGAGCTGGTTTTTTGAAAGGATCAACAAAATTGATAGACCACTAGCAAGACTAGTAAAGAAGAAAAGAGAGAAGAATCAAATAGATGCAATAAAAATGATAAAGGGGATATCACCACCAATCCCACAGAAATACAAACTACCATCAGAGAATACTACAAACACCTCTATGCAAATAAACTAGAAAATCTAGAAGAAATGTATAAATTCCTCAACACATACACTCTCCCAAGACTAAACCAGGAAGAAGTTGAATCTCTGAATAGACCAATAACAGGAGCTGTAATTGTGGCAATAATCAATAGCTTACCAACCAAAAAGAGTCCCAGACCAGATGGATTCACAGCCGAATTCTACCAGATGTACAAGGAGGAACTGGTACCATTCCTTCTGAAATTATTCCAATCAATAGAAAAAGAGGGAATCCTCCCTAACTCATTTTATGAGGCCAGCATCATCCTGATACCAAAGCCAGGCAGAGACACAACCAAAAAGGAGAATTTTAGACCAATATCCTTGATGAACATTGATGCAAAAATCCGCAATAAAATACTTGCAAACCGAATCCAGCAGCACATCAAAAAGCTTATCCAGCATGATCAAGTGGGCTTCATCCCAGGGATGCAAGGCTGGTTCAATATATGCAAATCAATAAATGTAATCCAGCATATAAACAGAACCAAAGACAAAAACCACATGATTATCTCAATAGATGCAGAAAAGGCCTTTGACAAAATTCAACAACTCTTCATGCTAAAAACTCTCAATAAATTAGGTATTGATGGGACGTATCTCAAAATAATAAGAGCTATCTATGACAAACCCACAGCCAATATCATACTGAATGGGCAAAAACTGGAAGCATTCCCTTTGAAAACTGGCACAAGACAGGGATGCCCTCTCTCACCACTCCTATTCAACATAGTGTTGGAAGTTCTGGCCAGGGCAATTAGGCAGCAGAAGGAAATAAAGGGTATTCAATTAGGAAAAGAGGAAGTCAAATTGTCCCTGTTTGAAGATGACATGATTTTATATCTAGAAAACCCCATTGTCTCAGCCCAAAATCTCCTTAAGCTGATAAGCAACTTCAGCAAAGTCTCAGGATACAAAATCAATGTACAAAAATCACAAGCATTCTTATACACCAATAACAGACAAACAGAGAGCCAAATCATGAGTGAACTCCCATTCACAATTGCTTCAAAGAGAATAAAATACCTAGGAATCCAACTTACAAGGGATGTGAAGGACCTCTTCAAGAACTGCAAACCACTGCTCAAGGAAATAAAAGAGGATACAAACAAATGGAAGAACATTCCATGCTCATGGGTAGGAAGAATCCATATCATGAAAATGGCCATACTGCCCAAGGTAATTTACAGATTCAATTCCATCCCCATCAAGCTACCAATGACTTTCTTCACAGAATTGGAAAAAACTACTTTAAAGTTCATATGGAACCAAAAAAGAGCCCACATCACGAAGTGAATCCTAAGTCAAAAGAACAAAGCTGGAGGCATCACACTACCTGACTTCAAACTATACTACAAGGCTACAGTAACCAAAACAGCATGGTACGGGTACTAAAACAGAGATGTAGATCAATAGAACAGAACAGAGCCCTCAGAAATAACACCGCATATCTACAACTATCTGATCTTTGACAAACCTGAGAAAAACAAGCAATAGGGAAAAGGATTCCCTATTTAATAAATGGTGCTGGGAAAACTGGCTAGCCATATGTAGAAAGCTGAAACTGGATCCCTTCCTTACACCTTACACAAAAATCAATTCAAGATGGATTAAAGACTTAAACATTAGACCTAAAACCATAAAAACCCTAGAAAAAAACCTAGGCTTTATCATTCAGGACATAGGCATGGGCAAGGACTTCATGTCTAAAACACCCAAAGCAATGGCAACAAAAGACAAAATTGACAAATGGGATCTAATTAAACTAAAGAGCTTCTGCACAGCAAAAGAAACTACCATCAGAGTGAACAGGCAACCTACACAGTGGGAGAAAATTTTCGCAACTTACTCATCTGACAAAGGGCTAATATCCAGAATCTACAATGAACTCAAACAAATTTACAAGAAAAAAACAACCCCATCAAAAAGTGGGTGAAGGACATGAACAGATACTTCTCAAAAGAAGACATTTATGCAGCCAAAAAAACATGAAAAAATGCTCACCATCACTGGCCATCAGAGAAATGCAAATCAAAACCACAATGAGATACCATCTCACACCAGTTAGAATGACAATCATTAAAAAGTCAGGAAACAACAGGTGCTGGAGAGGATGTGGAGAAATAGGAACACTTTTACACTGTTGGTGGGACTGTAAACTAGTTCAACCATTGTGGGAGTCAGTGTGGCAATTCCTCAGGGATCTAGAACTAGAAATACCATTTGACCCAGCCATCCCATTACTGGGTATATACCCAAAGGACTATAAATCATGCTGCTATAAAGACACATGCACACGTATGTTTATTGCGGTATTATTCACAATAGCAAGGACTTGGAGCCAACCCAAATGTCCAACAGTGATAGACTGGATTAAGAAAATGTGGCACATATACGCCATGGAATACTATGAAGCCATAAAAAATGATGAGCTCATGTCCTTTGTAGGGACATGGATGAAATTGGAAATCATCATTCTTAGTAAACTATCGCAAGAACAAAAATCCAAACACCACATATTCTCACTCATAGGTGGGAATTGAACAATGAGATAATATGGACACAGGAAAGGGAACATCACACTCTGAGGCCTGTTGTGGGGTGGGGGGAGGGGGAGGGATAGCATTGGGAGATATGCTTAATGCCAGATGACGAGTTAGTGGGTGCAACGCACCAGCATGGCACACGTATACATATGTAACTAACCTGCAGATTGTGCACATGTACCCTAAACTTGAAGTATAATAATAAAAAAAAAATAAAAATAAAAAAATAAAAAAAGTTGTCCAGATATTTCTTTTTATTTTTTTGAGATGGAGTCTCTGTCTGTCACGCAGGCTGGAGTGCAATGGTGCAATCTTGATTCACTGCAAGCTCCGCCTCCAGGGTTTGCTCCATTCTCCTGCCTTAGCCTCCCCAGTAGCTGGAACTACAGATGCCCACCACTACGCCCAGCAATTTTTTTGTATTTTTAGTAGAGACGGGGTTTCTCTGTGTTAACCAGGATGGTCTCAATCTCCTGACCTCGTGATCCATCCACCTCGGCCTCTCAAAATGCTGTGATTACAGGCATGAGCCACTGCGCCTAGCCAACGTTGTCCAGATATTTCAAAAAAGTTACAAAAATTAGAAGATTGGGAAAACTGACCTCAAGTGAACTTCTCAGAGAGATTCAAAAAGTATCTGTGAAGAGAGACGAAGAAAAGCAAAAACAAAAGACAAAACTTATGTTATTCACCTTCCAACAGATGGCTCCAAATCCATGTACCCCTAAACAGAGCTTCCAGTGGGCCAGAAACTATAAAGGTTCCAAACCCTCCTTTAAAGGACCCAAGCCTCCATTGGGAGGATCAAGGCTCTCGTCTACCAGGCCATCTAAATAGTATAGGGGAGTAAAATCAAAGAATCCCAGAACTGAGAGTGGGGAAGGGCAAGGTAGGCACTAAAAATGTGGAAGAACAGGCCACTTCAAGAGAGAATGTCCCAAATTAGAAAAGGAAAAAGAGGCCCTTCCACTCATGGCTTTTGAGGAAGAATAATGGGGTCAGGGGTTCTGTCTCTTTTATCTTGAGTCCCACCAGGAGCCCTTGATAAGTCTAGAAGTGGGACCTAAGCATGATTTTATAACATTTTTAGTCAATTCAGGAGTGGCTCGATCCTCTGTTTGTTTTCCCCCCATCTAATATTGCCTACTCTTCAGGGGAACTTTTGGTTTGTGGGGTAAATGGAGAAGGATTTAAAGCAAAAATTTTAGAAAACACAGAAGTCAGATACCAGGCTCAATCAGCTCATATTCAGTTTTTGCTAATCCCTAAAGCAGGGACTAATTTACTAGGGAGGGATTTAATGTTGAAGTTAGGCATAAGCCTGCAACTCGGCCCAAGAGGTTTCCTCACCTCATTAAAGCTACTCACCACTGCAGATGACAAATATATTAATCCTAATGTCTGATCCAAAGAAGGAAACTGAGGGAACCTCTGAGTCCCTCCAACCACATCAAGCTAAAAATCCCCAAGGAAGTAGTAAGGAGGAAACAATACCCCATTCCCCTAGAGGGCAGGATAGGTTTGAAACCTATAATTGAAAGTCTTATTAAAAATGGGCTTCTTGAGCCCTCTATGTCCCCTTAAAACACCTCAACATTGCCAGTCAAGAAATCAGATGGGTCATACCGGCTGGTACAGGACTTTAGGGCTATTAACCAAATAGTCCAATCTACCCACCCCATTGTCCTCGATCCTTACACAATTCTCAGCAAGATTCCATATAATAATCAATGGTTTACTGTAATAGATTTGAAGGATGCTTTTTGGGCATGTCTCCTGGCAGAAGATAGGCAAGATATATTTACTTTTGAGTGGGAGGATCCCCATTCAGGGTAGAAACAACACTATCGATGGATAGTCTTACCCCAAGGGTTCACAGACTCCCCTAACCTTTTCAGTCAAATTTTAGAACAAGTATTAGAAAAAGTTATCATCCCAAACAAATATGCCTGCTCCAATATGTTGATGATATTCTTATATCTGGTGAAGATATAGAGAAGGTAGCTGGCTTCTCTACACATATTCTCAACCATCTGCAGTTCGAGGAGTTATGAGTCTCGAAGAAAAAAGCTTCAGTATGTAGAACCTGAAATTAAATATTTAGACCAGTTGATAAGTGCAGAGAAGTGAAGAATAGGGCCTGAATGAGTTGAGGGAATCGTGTCCCTACCCTTGCCTCAAACTTAAACAAGAACTCAGGAAATTTTTAGGGTTAGTTGGATACTGCTGCTTATGGATTAACTCACATGCACTAAACAGTAAACTTCTATATCCAAAATTTGCCGAGGGGAAGACTGACGACCTGCTGTGGACCTCTGAAGAAGTCGATCAGGTTAAAGAGCAGATAAAAAGGCTTATAACAGCCCCTGTCTTAGCCTTACCTTCCCTAGAAAAGCCATTCCACCTTTTTGTCAACGTGGATAATGGGGTAGCATTAGCAGTGCTCACTTAAGAACACGGAGGCCATCAGCAGCCCATCGTGGCCTTCCTGTCAAAAGCCTTAGATTCAGTTACTAGTGGGTGGCCTCAATGTATCCAATCCATTGTGACTACAGCACTAATGGTCAAAGAAATCAGGAAGTTAACCTTTGGAGGAAAATTGACAGTGAGAAAGCCCCATCAAGTTAGAAATATCTTAAATCAGAAAGCAGGGAGGTGGCTTACTGACTCAAGAATCTTAAAGTATGAGACTATTCTGTTAGAAAAAGATGATTTAACATTAACCACTGATAATTCTCTTAACGCAGCAGTTTTTCTAATAGGGGATCCAAATCTAAAGAGATAGCACACATGTTTAGATTTAACTGATTACCATACAAAGGTCTGACAAGACCTAGGATAAACTCCCTTCAGGATGGGATGACACTTAATTATAGATGGCTCCTCCCAGGTGATTGAGGCAAAAAGATGCAACAGGGAATTCAGTAATTGATGGAGAAACTCTTGAAGAAATTGAGGCAGGAAAATTGTCTAATAATTGGACTGCCCAAACTTGTGAGCTGTTTGCACTCAGCCGAGCCTTAAAGTACTTGCAGAACTAGGAAGGAGCCATCTATACCAATTCTAAGTACGCCTTTGGAGTGGCTCATAGATTCGGAAAAATTTGGACTGAACGAGGTCTCATTAATAGTAAACGTCAAGATCTTGTTCATAAGGAGCTATTCACCCAAGTATTGAATAACCTTCAGTTGCCAGAAGAAATAGTGACTGTCCATGTCCCCAGACACCAGAAAAGTCTTTCTTTTGACAGTCTAGGAAATAACCTAGCAGATTACATAGGCAAACAGGCTGCCATTTCTTTTAAAACATCTATTTTTCACTGAACTCTTTACCTTCCTCCTCCTGACATAATCTCCATTTTCTCCTCCACGGAAAAGAGAAACTAATAAAAATAGGTGCTAAGGAGAATTCAAAAGAAAAGTGGATACTGCCAGAGCAGAGGGAAATGTTGTCCAAACCCCTTATGAGGGAAAACTTGTCCCAACTTCATCAAGGGACCCACTGGGGTCCCAAGCCATGTGTGACAGAGTTCTGAAAGTTTTTGGGTGTATAGGGATTTATACTCTGGCCAAACAGGTTACAGACAGTGGCTTAGTGTGTAAGAAAACTAATAAACAAACTATAAAAAGATTACCCCTTGGTAGAAGGAGTCCAGACTTAAAGTATCCAGATTGATTACACAGAGATGCCTTCAATAGGTCGTCTAAAATATTTACTAGTGACAGTAGATCACCTTACTCACTGGGTCAAAGCTATTCCCTTTTCAAATGTGATGGCCAATAATGTAGTTAAGGCCTTAATTGAAAATATAGTGCCCAGGTTTAGGCTAATAGAAAACATTGACTTAGACAATGGAACCCATTTTGCCTGAAACTATTACATTTGATGCTTGCCTTGTTATACCTTGTGGAGCCTTGTCAGGCCAAAGACAGCTCTCCACTTCAGAAAAGTACCTCTGTACTTCCCGGCTGTCCTCAGACTGGACATTAGTGAATTTGGATCATTTAGTCTGGGAAAGTTTCAATGAAGACCCCAGTGTCAACTGGGAGTCTTGCCCCCTTTACACAAAGCTTTTATGACGTAGTTGGTCCAACTATGTGCAAGTGAGAGCAAGGATGGACTGCCCCAACCAGTAGTTGTAATTCCTAAAACCATACATTCATTTTACTAAAGATATAGCTCCCCCTAACTTTCAGGTAAACTAGTGTAACTCAATACAGCTTATTATTTCAAACTCTCAAAGTTCTTCCCCTTCTCTAAGTCAATTCCCTTCTTTAAGCTGGTTTTATGATATGGGGGCTGAGTTTTCAGAAATAGACCCTATTGGATCTTTGAAATATGCTTCATTGCTCCCCTACTGTCTACAGCTTCCCCTAAGTCTTCTTCCAAAAACTCTCACAATGAAACTGTTGTTCCTCCTCCATCTAATGACAAGACCAAGGTAGCTATTGTAGAAGTTAAAGATCTAAAACAAACTTTGGCAACTGAGACAGGATATCAAGATGCGAATGCCTGGTTGGAATGGATCAAATACTCCATTCACACTTTAAACAAAAGCAATTGTTATGCTTGTGCACACGGCAGACCAGAGGCCCAGATTGTCCCCTTTCCACTAGGATGGTCCTTCAGTCGACCAGGCATGGGCTGTATGGTAGCTCTTTTCCAGGGTTCCACAGCCTGGGATAACAAGTCATGTCAATCTCTCTCTCTGCTATATCCCAAAGTTCAACACCCTGCAGGTCAGCCCCCAAGGGCCAACCAGCTTCCGTCTCCCGACACTAAGTTCACTTCATGTCTCTCACAACAAGGAGGAAACTTAGCTTTGCTTGGAGACCTAAAAGGATGCAGTAAGCTTAAGACTTTCCAAGAGCTTACCAATCAGTCAGCCCTTATACACCCCTGAGCAGATTTATGGTGCTATTGTGGTGGACCTTTACAGGACACTCTGCCAAGTAACTGGAGCAGCGCTCTTGCTCTAGTCTAGTTGGCTATACTTTTCACTCTGGCATTTCATCAACCAGAAAAAGGGAAACCACAACATCGTAAAGCAAGGGAAGTCCTTTATGGGTCTTTTGACTCCCACGTTTATTTAGATGCTATTGGAATCCCATGAGGAGTACCAGATACATTTAAGCCCAAGATCAAATAGCTACCGGATTTGAATCGATATTTTGGTGGGTGACAATAAAAACGTAGATTGGATAAATTACATCTATAATAATCAACAGTGGTTTGTTAATTACAGCAGGGATGTTGTCAAGGGAATAGCAGAACAATTGAGGCCCACTAGCCAGATGGCCTGGGAAAACAGAATGGCCCTAGATACGATATTAGCTGAAAAAGTGGTGTTTGTGTTACGATTAAAACTCAGTGTTGTACCTTTATCCATTGGGGGCAAACAACACTGCCCCCAATGGGAGCATAACAAGGGCCCTACAAGGATTTACTACTTTATCCAATGAATTAGCTAAAAATTCTGGAGTCAATAACCCTTTCTCAAGATGGCTAGAAAGGTGGTTCAGTAAATGGAAAGAAATCATAGTCCCAATTCTTACTTCTCTTACAGCAGTAACGGGTGTACTCATTCTTGTTGGGTGTTGTGTCATACCATGCATCCATGGGCTAGTGCAAAGGCTTATAGAAACAACACTTTCTAAAACCTCCCTTAGCTGTCCGCCACCTTATTCAGATAGGC
This sequence comes from Homo sapiens, assembly GCF_000001405.40. Classification (NCBI taxonomy): domain Eukaryota; kingdom Metazoa; phylum Chordata; class Mammalia; order Primates; family Hominidae; genus Homo; species Homo sapiens. The sequence continues at coordinate 18,359,217 of NC_000014.9, forward strand.
TTTTCCTTTTAGAGGATCAAGTTGAAAAAAAAAAAGCCAAGACATGTTAAAAAGGTTTGAAGAGGAAGGGCTACAAAAATTGAAAGAGGCAATTGTAGAATACAGTGAATTACTCTTCAAAGGTTTTAACCTGTTAACGTCCTTTAAAATTCAAGAGAGGGAAGATTGTTAAGTACAGTGAGTTCTCAGTTCCTCTTCAAAGAGCCAATAAGTCAATATGTTCAGCTTCTCTGTTCTTTGTTCTCCATTTTAAAGTTTAACTTCCTCATTCTTTATGCCTCCTTGCCCCTAGTTTCAGTAAACGACCCCCTCCTAGTCCCTATCACCTACTCTGTCCTTAGTCATTCTTAGTCACTTGCTCTGTCCTTAGTCATCTTTAGTCACCTGCTCTGTAACCATCCTTCCTGAGGAAACTACCCACCCTGCCACTCTGGCTTGCACCCCTGTCCTCTTTGAAGTAGCCGGTCAAAATTAGCTTATAGTGTGCGGTCCAACTCTAGCCAATAGGGGAAAGATACAGCAGTAGGGACTATCTGCATTAGGAATAAGAACCCTTTCCCCTCCCTTATCCAGTGTGCTCTTGCCATTGCTCCATCCTCAAGACTCACCCTTCTATAGAAGTAAATTTGCCTTGCTGGAGTGTTAACTTGTTACTGGAGTGCTAACTCTTCTTTGTGGCACCAAAAAGTTATTTCCAACACGAAGCTGCACCCTTGGAGGAGGGAACATCTGACGAAGTTCAATGCTTGGGGAAAACAATATCTGGAAAGATTGAACAGTCAGCAGGAGAAACACCTAGGAAAATTACAAGACCTGTGAAAAAAAATCTGAGAAATTTGCATGGCCACAAGAAAGACCTACAAAGACCACATGTGAGGAAGAAGAAACATCTGTAAAGACTGAATGCGTGGCAGGAGTAACATCTAATAAAATTGAAGTTTTGGAAGAAGGAACATCTAAGATGATCACATGTCCTACAAAAAAACAGCTACAAAAGCAAGTACAAATGGTAAGATGCTTGAGTGAACTTTGTAGAGTTTATTGGCACTTTGGGTTCCCTAGTGGAAATAGTGTGGTATGGGAGTAGTCGGGAATGGCTTGAATGTCTAGATAAGGCAAGCTTAGGCAACACATTTTAATAGTGTAGAAATGAGTAGATCTTATTCTGTAGGCCCTGGAAAAATTCCCAGAATACTTCTGGCTGTAAATATTAGATGAACTAACTAACAATTGCTAAAACCATAGAAACCAAAGTTGTTTTGGTGGTAAAGGGATATTATAGGATCTCACTCTCTCCCCCCATTATTAGTTGTGCTATCAGCAGCGTTTTGTTCATGTCTCCTTTCTTGGTTGGCTAATTAGCAACAGCTCCAATCATCATGCTAACTAAAGACAATATATGAAGGCTGGGAGGGTTGCTTTTGTTCACATTTTTTTTTTAAATAGGAAGAAAACTTGGAAGCTTGCAGTAATCTTCCTGTAACATTTTATTTGCTGGATTATACTACATGCTTATTTCTATAGCAATCACTAGGAAACCAAATGTAATTACTGAGATTAGCTTAGAATAATGATTTTTCTTTTAAGATTGGATAGGGGTAATGGAATAATAAATATCTAAATGAACTTGTGTTTCTGCAGCAATAAAGAATAAGTAATGACTATGCATAGGAAGCCAGTAAAGTTTTCTGCAGGAACTCAGTGGAAAAGTTTGAGTAGGGGAGTCACAAGATTAGATTTGAGTATCAGGGCATTCTGGTCACGGTATAAAGAAGAGATTGGCAAACTTTTCCTGTAAAGTGCCAGATAGCGAATATGTTGGGCCATGTGGTCTCTATTACAGCTATTCAACTCTGCCATTGTAGGGTGAAAGGAGTCATAGATAATGGATGGGCAAAGAGGCATGATCGTACTCCAATAAAAGTCTGTATAAAAAACATTTAGTAAGCTGAATTTGGCCTGTGGCCTATAGTTTCTGGCCCTTCATATAGAAGATAGATGGAGGATAATCACATAAAAAGATTTAAAGATGAAGCTTTTGTAGTAGTTCATGTGATAGTTTTTTTTTTTTTTGTAACCAATCTGTGGCCTAGTATCAATCTATTATGAAAGTTTGATCCGTCAAGGGTAAAATGAATCAAGTTCAGAAGCTCAATTTACACATTTAAACATGTAGGTCCTTCTTTGGCATTATTTTATTTTGATTAATTTTTTTAACTTAAAAAATAAGAACAGTAATTTGTAGGGTTTCTTTTTCCCTGTGAAATCCATCAGTTAAGGGGCCACGTTTAACTAGGAAATATAAATATAAAATAAATAAGTACGTATTTCCAGTGGCACTGGAAAGATAAAGCAAAGGCAGAAAAGAGGTGCAGTTAATATGGCTTAGTGATAATTGAGTTTAAAAAGCTAGGGGATAGATAAAATCTCAGGTCACTCATAAGTTTTCAGATTGTGCACAAGGATTTACAATGCTCATGGGGAAGGAGTAGGAATTTGTCAGGTTAACAGAGAAGTGCAAACAGTCATGGGACAGACCAATAGTTTTCTTCACATGTTGAGTTCAATGAAACATTCATGGGGGATACATTCAGTAGGCAATTGGATTATATGCATTTCTAGCTGGAGATAGAACTCTGGTTGAAAATGCAGGCTTAGAATACTTTTATTATAATTATTAGGCAAAGCCATAGATCTCAATGAGCTTATCCATGAGGCAGAAGATGTAGAATAAAAAGAAAGCCATTGAGAAAACCCTGGGAATATCAACATTTCACAAGAGTCAAAGGACTTGGTAAAGGAGGCTGAGCAGTGGTTAAAGAAATGTAGGAGAGGAGTCTGAGAAAGTGATGTTACCAATTTCTTTTAAATGTGAGAATTTCAAGCAGTAAAATTACTCAAAAGTCTACTGGATTTAACTTACAAGTTCTTCAGTGGTAATCTGTTCAAAAGAATTATTTTAGAGTTGTTAGGTATACTTTTGATGTGATTGATATTTCTGGTATCCAAGAAGAAATCTCCCAAGATCCTACCTAACTTTTTGTAACTAAAGCAGCATACATACACAGGGAGTGGGAAAATGTCTAGACTGGTGAGTACACATACCAACATTTTTCCAGAATTTTCTTCCTCCTTATTATACCACTTGAGCAAGGGGTTTAGAGATTTTAGACTATACTTGGGAATTTGTCTATTTCTCTTGCAGTTCTGTCAATTTTTGTATCATGTATTTTGAAGCATTTGTGTTATTATTACATAAATATTTAGGACAGTTATGTTTTCTTGATTAATTGAACCCTTTGTCACTATAAAATGACCTTGTTTATTGCTGGTAATATTTTTGCTATGAAATGTACTTTGGTGTTAATACAACCACTCTTCCTCAGCCTTCTTTTTTCAAGTGTTAGTGTGGTATATCTTGTTTCATCTTTTAACCAATTTTTGTCTTTATATTTAAAGTTTATTTCTTATACACATTATACAAGTAAGACTTGCTTTTTTATCCATTCTGACAATCTACCTTTGAGCAGAGGTTTTTAGGCCAGTTTAATTTATAATGTAATTATTGATATGATTAGAGTTGTCTGTCATCACACTGTTTGATTTCTATTAGTCCCAGATCTTCTTTGCTTTGCTTTTTTTCTTTTTCTGCTTCCTTCAGACTAGTTTAGTAATTTTTATGATTTAGTTACATATCTGTATATGCATAACTTTTTTAGTTATTAATCTAGTTTTACATTTCTTTATGATTTAGTCATATCTTTTTTGGTATAAGTTTATTTGGTATTAGGTATAACTCTTTGTTGTCTTAGTAGTTGCTTTAGGATTTATACTGTATGAATTTACCTCATCACAATCCACCTTCAAGTAATATTATATCATATCATAGATGGTATAAGAAATTACAATCATATTTTCATTTCTTTTCTGTCAGCCAGATCCCAGCCTAGATGTGTGGGATTATGGCTTTTGTTAAGTTTAAAACGTATTTAGCCAATTTTTCCTCAAATTTTTTATTCTGCCTCTCCTCCTACCTATTTGGGGACTTATATATTACCTGCTGGAACTTTGCTCATAGTTCACTAATGTCTCAAATTTGTGAATCTCTTATTTCATGATGGTGAATTAATCTGCTCATATCTACTCAGTGCAGCTTTCATCTCCAGCATTGTAACTTGTATCTCTACAAGTGCAATTTGGTTTTAAAAAGTATCTTCTATTGCTTAACTTATCTTCTTGATTTTTATAGTAGAATAGAGTTGAGTTACTTATAAACAGCTTGATCCTTTTCATTTTTCTTTTTATGGTATGAGCTAACTCCCCATACCCGAGGCAAGGCCTTTCTGAGTATTCATTTTCCTGTGAAGTCTGAGTTTTCCCAGTCAAATCTATAAAAATAGATGCTCTTCTTGGCACTGTGTGGGCACCAGGTGTGACTTCCTCTAATTTTATAAGCCACCCCCCACCCCCACCCGGTTTGTTCTTAGGTAGTTTCCTAGCTCACATGCAATTTTCAAAATTTTGCTAAGTACTGACAGGGGGTTTCTTGCCGTTGATTCTGTATCTCTCTCTCCTCCTCAGTGTTTGTTCTGTAATATCTGTCTGCTTTGGTTTTACCAGACTCTAAGCTTCATCAATGTAACCAGGAGAGTCTGGTAGATCCCACCTCAGTTTTTTCTTCCTGTGTCATGTCTCGGAATCTCTGTCAAGGCAGGAAGCTGAAACATTCATAAGGTTTGCTTTTTTTCGTGTTTTTTTTTCTGTTTTTCAGGGATTATTATCTTCTTTGCCTAATGTACAGTGTCTAAAAAATTGTTTAATGTATTTTGTGTGTTTTGATTTTAGTTATTTTAGCTAAGAAGAAAAATCATACCTGTTGCTCTCCCTTGGCTAGAGGCAGACTACACTAGAGTTTCAGCACATGCCACAGACTGGCTAAAGTGCTTTCCTTCCTTGTTTGCTCAACTGCTTCCTTTTCATTCTTCATTCCTCAGTGTAGCTATACATCCCTCGGGGGAATTTTCCGTGAGCCTAGTATAGATCTAATTCTTAGCAATCTGTTTTCTTACAGTATCTATCTGAATTTATAACTGTCACTTTTCTGGAGCTTTGTCTTTTAGCACATTTTAAGTTAAACACAGGCAGAGGTTTTGCTTTTATCTGTTTAATCTGCAGAGCTTAGTATAATGCCTTCTACCTGGTAGGCAATCAATATATATTTGTTCAGTGTATGAATTAGTGATTTTTAAAATATGCAGTTCTTTTTATCCCAAAAGTACTAATACATTTTATTTCTATCTCCTCCTTGAGACAGATTCAACTAGCCTATCAAAAATCTTGGATGCAGTTCTTTCTTGTGAAAGAGCAAGGGAACTTAAAAAATATCCCTGTGAGCCAGGTGCTGTGGCTCATGCCTGTAATCCCATCACTTTGGGAGGCCAAGGCGGGCAGATCATGAGGTCAGGAGATCAAGACCATCCTTGCTAACACAGTGAAACCCCGTCTCTACTAAAAATACAAAAAAAAATATTAGCCGGGCATGCTGGCGGGTGCCTGTAGTCCCAGCTACTCAGGAGGCTGAGGCAGGAGAATGGCGTGAACCCAGGAGGTGGAGCTTGCAGTGAGTGGAGAACCCACCACTGCACTCCAGCCTAGGCAACAGAGAGAGACTCCGTCAAAAAAAAAAAAAAAAAGAAAAAAGAAAAAAAAGAAAAAAAATCCCTGTGAACAACTTACAGCAAAAATGAAACAAATGAAAAATAAGCTTCGTGTACTACAAAATGAACTATCAGAACCAAAAGAAATAAAATCATAGAGAATCAAAAAGTTAAAAGAGAACAAGAGCTCTGCAGTCTGAGGTATGATATACTAGTATATAGGATACTTTTTGTACTAGCTGACTTACCTTCTGAGGTTTAACTGGAGGAAGAAATCTCTGTCTTGTAGAGTGTCAAATTCATTTAAATAATACAAGTTCTTAACTGTGAATACATCTCCTGATAATTAAATACTTATTTATTTAAATCACAATTTTAATGGCTACATAGAAGGCCATTATTCGGAAACCCCATTATTTACTTAACAAATTAATTTTTTATTTTTAATTTTTTTGTGTTATAATAAGTGTTGCAAGGCATAACTGCATGTAAATCCTTTTCTACCATTCTAATTATTGACTTGGAATAAATTCTTCAATATAAAAATATTTGGTTAAATTATAGGAAGTTTTTAAGAAGTTCTTTGTTCATTACTTCTAAATTGTTCCCAAGAAAATTTATATTCATTTATAGTTCAACAAAGGGAGTGTGAAACGGCCATTCCTCTACCCCCAATAATCATTTTCCTTTAATTATACACTTTTAATCTTAATATGCATGGAGTATAAAGAAAAATACAGAGTAATTTATGACTAGTATATTCAACATCTCTCTCTCTCCTAAATAAATAAAATTAATTCCGAGTTCTATGTTAAAAATACTTATTATTTTTATTTTAAATTAAATATTATATTCTGTCTTATTCTAAAAGAGATTTAAAATTTGTTGATAAAATATATAATAATCAACAGATACATTTAAAGTATTACTAAAAAAAGAAACAAAAGATATATGGGATAACAGATATTAGATTCTCTAGCCTAGTCTCAGATTTTAATATTATAATTATTTTTAAGGATACTTGCCTTATTTTATAAAGATGAATATTTATGTCTAATAAATATGTAAACTTGTTTATAAAAAGTAACGTCATTTTAATTAGTTAACTCTAAATGATCTGTCCTCATTGAGGAGTAATTTTGACTGTTATATTTTTTAAATAATAATTTTCAACTTATAACTTTACTGGATAGCTTCCAGTATTCTTTTCCATAACAGTTGTTGAAGTTACTAGTAACAGAATCTTTCTAACTAGAAGATATTCTTTTCTCACTATTGTTCAAGCATGTGTGTCATTTGGAAGAGAGTTCAGTAATAAAATACCTCAGAACTAGAAAGGAAAAACGTATTCAAGAATATAAGAATTTCATTGGAATAATAAACCGATATAGGAAGAAGTAGATCTCAAAGTGAATTCTATTTTCTAACAAAATGAATTTTAAGATAAGTATATTTAATGGCAGATTGACTTTAAAACAAGAATAAGAGAAGAAATGCCAATATATTAAAAGAAAAAATAGGAAAGAATTAGGAAAATTCGAAGAGCTGCAAAAGAAAAAGTTAGAAGTGAAGCAACTTGAACTCGCTCTCCGAATATACAAGATATGGAATTGAAGATGGTAAGAAGTAATTTGAATCAGCTCAATCAATCGCTGGTAAAAATTTTATATTTCTAACTTTATTTCATCAATATTACTTTTAATATCCATTCGATTTAGTAGGTATTATTCAGAATTATGATAATGCCGCTATAATATTTAGGTACAAACTTTTGTATATTTCATTCATAAGTTTTCATTTCTATTGGTTATGTACCTAGGAATGGAATTGCTGGGTCGTAAGGTACCTATGCATAACCTTTTCAGCAATCACCTCACAGTTTTCCAAAGTGTGCACTATTTTACTGTCCCACCGGCAATGTATGAAAGATCTAATTTCTCTAAGTCCTCACCAGGCTGGAGTGCAGTGGTGCACTCTCAGCTCTCTGCAAGCTCCGCCTCATGGGTTCACGCCATCCTCCTGCCTCAGCCTACCGAGTAGCTGGGACTACAGTCGCCCGCCACCACGCCCGGCTAATTTTTTGTATTTTTTAGTAGAGACGGGGTTTCACCATGTTAGCCAGGATGGTCTGGATCTCCTGACCTCATGATCCGCCCACCTCAGTCTCCCAAAGTGCTGGGATTACAGGAGTAAGCCACCGCACCCAACCATTTGTCAGTTTTTATTGTAGGTACACTAGTTGGTGTTAAGTGATGTCTGCTTGTGGTTTGATTTTGCATTTTCTTGATGGCTTGTGATGTTAAGCTTTTCTTCATGCACTTATTGAACACTCTTTTATCTTCTTCACAAAAGTGTCTATTTAAATATTTTGCCTATTTTTATGTATTTTTTCTTTTTACTGTTGAGTTGTAAAAGTTATTTGTGCATTTTGGATACAGATTTCTAATCAAATATATAAGTTGCAAACATTTTCTCCACTTTTCTGGTTGTCTTTTTATTTTCTTTGTTACGTTCTTTGAAACACAAATGTTTCTAATTTTGATGAAGCTCAGTACATTTTCTTTTATCACTGTGCTTTTGGTGCCATATCTAAGAAACTATTGCCAAATCCCAGGCCATAAAGATTTATTGTTATCTTTTATTCTAAGAGTTTTATAGTTTTCCAATTCAGAAACATAAAATCAAATACTGCATGTTCTTACTTAAAAATGGGAAATAAATAATGCGTAAACATGAACAAAGAGTGTAAAATGATAAGACACTGTAGACTCAGAAGGGTGAGGGGTGGGAGGGGGAAGGTTGATGAGAAATTACTTAGTGGATACAGTGTACATTGTTCCAGTGATAAACACACTAAAAGCTCAGACTTCACTCCTACCCCATATACCCATGTAACAAAATTGCACTTGCACTCCTTAAATTTATACAATTTTAAAAAATGGTTTTAGAGTTTTGGTTCTGTGATTAATTTTATAATGTTTTATTGTGGTAAAGCCTATGTAATAAGCTTTGCCGTTTTAAACATAAAATTCGGAGGCATTAATTACATTCAGAATGTTGTGCAATCATCAAAACTATGTATTTCCAAAATTTTTTTTCACCCCAAACTGAAACTCTGTACTCATTAAGCAATAACTCCTCATTCTCCCTTTCCTCCCAAGTCCCTGGTAGGAATAAATTTTATGGTATTTTAATTAATTTAAATGTAAAAAACTAAATGCAGCTGGTGGCTATCATACTGGACCTCACAGTTCTAACACCACCAGTATCAACCCCTGGACAGATATAATCATTTCTAAGCTGCCTTTGTATTTATTATTATTCTATTTATGGTAATCTGTAATCTATTCTCCCACAAAGCTGGACAATTCCTGTAAGAACATATCTTATACCATTTCATTCCCAGCTCTGAATCCTCCAGTGGTTATCTATCACAATTAACAAAGAAATCCAAGCTCTTTACTATGTTCTGTATTTGTCTGCTCCTCAGAGTGTGCATTCTCCTTTCCTCCTCCCAGTGCCTGCAGCCTGACTGGTCTTTGTAGTGATCTTTGAGCTCATCAAGCGCTGTCTGTATCCAGACTCTGCACAATGTCTCTTCTCTCTGCCCTCTAGACATTCGCTTAACTCACTCCGTCATACCATTCTGACCTGCTCAAGGGTCATCTCCTCAGAAAGATTGTTCAAGAGCTCTCTATCTAAAGTAGCAGTCCCTGACACCCTGAATGTGATTACCCTACCTTATTTTCTTTGTATTATTATACTTTTTATTTAGACACGGTCTCACTCTGTCACCAAGGCTGGGGTGCAGTGGCACAATCATGGATCACTGCAGCCTCAAACTCTGGGGCTCAAACAGACCGCCTGTCTCAGCCTCCCTAGTAGCTGGGACTATAGGTGAGCACCACAACACTTGGCTAATATATTTCTTCATAGCGCTTAGTACATCCATCACTTTAGTGTGCAACTGTTTATGCATTTATGTTCTATCTCTGTCACTATACTGCAATCTCCATAAAGACAGACCTTCTCTCTCCAGTTCCCATAATACTACCCAGCATAAAATAGGCTGTAAGTAAACATTTATTGAGTACATAAAAGAAGAATCTTATTCATGTCAAGGTTGTAATCTATGTTAGATTCAAAGAGATAGTCTCCTGACTAAATAGGAGTGTTTCTTTTTGAAGCATGCCTTTAAAAAAAGTGTTGCACATGGTGGATAAGCTTTTGTATGTGCTGCTGGATTCATTTTGCCAGTCTTTTATTGAGGATTTTCACATCAATGTTTATAAGGGCTATTGGCCTGAAATTTTCTTTATTTGTTGTGTCTGTCAGGTTTTGGTATCAGGATGATGCTGCCCTCATAAAATGAGTTAGGGAGGAGTCCCCCTTTTACCATTGTTTGGAATAGTTTCAGAAGGAATCGTACCCGCTCCTCTTTATATCTCCAGTATAATTCAGCTATGAATCCATCTGGTCCCGGGCTTTTTTTGGTTGGTAGGCTATTCATTACTGCCTCAATTTCAGAACTTGTTATGGGCCTATTCGGGGATTCTACTTCTTCCTGATTTTGTTGTGGGAGGGTGTATGTGCCAGGAATGTATCTGTATTTTCTAGATTTTCAGGTTTATTTGCAGAGAGGTGTTTATAGTATTCTCTGAGGGTAATTTATATTTCTGTGGGATCAATAGTGATACCTCCTTCATCATTTTTTTTTTGAGATGGAGTCTCACTCTGTCACCCAAGCTGGAGTGCAGTGGTGTTAGCTCACTGCAACCTCCACCTCCGGGGTTCAAGCAATTCTTCTGCCTCAGCCTCCCTAGTAGCTGGGTCTACAGGCACACACCACCACACCCAGCAAATTTTTGTATTTTTAGTAGAGATGGGGTTTCACCATATTGGCCAGGCTGGTCTCGAACTCCTGACTTTGTGATCCACCTGCCTCGGCCTCCCAAAGTGCTGGGGTTACAAGCATGAGCCATCGCACCCAGCCCCCTTTATCATTTTTTATTATGTCTAATTGATTCTTCTCTTTTTTCTCTGTTAGTCTAGCTAGTGGTCCATTTATTTTGTTAATCTCCTGGATTCACTGATATTTTGAAGGGTTTTTCGTGTCTCTATCTCTTTCAGTTCTACTCTGATCATAGTTATTTCTTGTCTTCTGGTAGCTTCTGAATTTGTTTACTCTTCTCTAGGTTTTTTAATTGTGATATTAAGGGGTTGATTTTAGATCTTTCCAGCTTTCTGTTTTGGGCATTTAGTGCTATAACTTTCCCTCTTAACACTACTTCAGCTGTGTCTCAGAGATTCTGGTACGTTGTCTCTTTGTTCTCACTGGTTTCAAACAACTTTGTTATTTCTGCCTTAATTTCATTATTTACCCAGTAGTCATTCAGAGGCAGGTTGTTCAATTTCCATGTAATTGTGTGGTTTTGAGTAAGTTTCTTAATCCTGAGTTCTAATTTGTACATGTACAAATTAGAGTACACCATGGAATGTTATGCAGCCATAAAAAATCATGAGTTCATGTTCTTTGCAGGGACATGGATGAAACTGGAAGCGACCATTCTCAGCAAACTAACACAGGAACAGAAAACCAAACAGTGCATGTTCTCACTCATAAATGGGAGTTGAACAATGAGAACACATGGACACACGGAGGGGAACATCACACACAGAGGCCTGTCAGGGGTTGGAGGGGAAGAGGAGGGAGAGCATTAGGACAAATACCTCATGCATATGGGGCTTAAAACTAAGATTACAGGTTGATAGATGGAGCAAACCACCACAGCACATATATACCTATGTAACAAACCTGTACATACTGCACATGTATCCCAGAACTTAAAGTACAATTTTTAAAACAGATATAAATATTGTATACATAAAAAAGACACACAATGTTTATGAATAGAAAGATTTTATATTGTAAAAAAGTCATTTCTACTCATTAAATTATGGTTGAATGCAATCCTACTCAAAATCCTATCAGGTAATTTAAAAATTGACAAGCTAATTTAAAATTTTTTTGAAAATTTAAAAGGACAAGAAGAACCAAGAAAGTTCTGAAGAAGAACAGAGCTCAAGAATGTATACCATCAGATGTCTCCAACTTTATTACAATTAAAATAAGATGGTATTAGCAGGACATACAAATAGAGAAACCAAAAACAAACTCATACTTATACCATCACCTGACTTATGACAAAGGTGAAACTGCAGTGCAGTGAGGAAATAATAATCTTCTCAATAAATGGTGGTAGATAATTTGGATATCAATATGGGGGAATAAAAGACTTTAACCCCTGTCTTGCATCACAAACAAAAATCAATCGTAAGTGGGTTATAAAGCTCAATCTGAAAGGTTAAAAATTAAAAAAAAAGCTTCTGTAACATAGAAGAATACCTTTATGACAATGGGGTAGACAGAAATTTCTTAAGCAAGATTAAATAAGCATTAACTACACAGAAAAATTCTGATAAATTGAACTACATTAAAATTAAGAAATTGGTATTAACGAAGTCACCATTAAGAGAAAGAAAAGACAAGTTAAATTGGGAGAATATATCTGCAATGTTTAGGTCCAATCAAAAATTTATATCCAGAATATATAAAAATTTCCTACAAATCTTCATATATTCTGGTTATAAACTTTTGATTGGACATAAACTAAAAAGTCCAGGATCAGACGGATTCACAGCTGAATTCTACCAGAGGTACAAAGAGGAGCTGGTACCATTCCTTCTGAAACTATTCCAATCAATAGAAAAAGATGGAATCCTCCCTAACTCATTTTATGAGGCCAGCATCATCCTGATACCAAAGCCGGGCAGAGACACAACAAAAAAAGAGAATTTTATACCAATATCGCTGATGAACATCGATGCGAAAATACTCAATAAAATACTGGCAAACCAAATCCAGCAGAACCTCAAAAAACTTATCCACCATGATCAAGTGGGCTTCATCCCTGGCATGCAAGCCTGGTTCAACATAAGCGAATCAATAAATGTAATCCAGCATATAAACAGAATCAATGACAAAAACCACATGATTATCTCAATAGATGCAGAAAAGGACTTTGACAAAATTCAACAACTCTTCATGCTAAAAACTCTCAATAAATTAGTTATTGATGGGACGTATCTCAAAATAATAAGACCTATCTATGACAAACCCACAGCCAGTATCATACTGAATGGGCAAAAACTGGAAGCATTCCCTTTGAAATCTGGCACAAGACAGGGATGTCCTCTCTCACCACTCCTATTCAACATAGTGTTGGAAGTTCTGGCCAGGGAAATCAGGCAGGAGAAAGAAATAAAGATTATTCAGTTAGGAAAAGAGGAAGTCGAATTGTCCCTGTTTGAAGATGACATGAATTATATATTTAGAAAACCCCATCGTCTCAGCCCAAAATCTTCTTAAGCTGATAAGCAACTTCAGCAAAGTCTCAGGATACAAAATCAATATGCAAAAATCACAAGCATTCTTATACACCAATAACAGACAAACAGAGAACCAAATCATGAGTGAACTCCCATTCACAATTGCTTCAAAGAGAATAAAATAAATAGGAATCCAACTTACAAGGGATGTGAAGGACCTCTTCAAGGAGAACTACAAACCACTGCTCAAGGAAATAAAAGAGGATACAAAGAAAAGGAAGAACATTCCATGCTCATGGGTAGGAAGAATCAATATCGTGAAAATGGCCGTACTGCCCAAGGGAATTTATAGATTCAATACCATCCCCATCAAGCTACCAATGACTTTCTTCACAGAATTGGAAAAAACTACTTTAAAGTTCATATGGAACCAAAAAAAGAGCCTGCATCACCAAGTCAATCCTAAGCCAAAAGAACAAAGCTGGAGGCATCACGCTACCTGACTTCAAACTATACTAGAAGGCTACAGTAACCAAAAGAGCATGGTACTGGTACCAAAACAGAGATATAGACCAATGGAACAGAACAGAGCCCTCAGAAATAATACCACACATCTGCAACCATCTGATCTTTGACAAACCTGACAACAACAAGAAATGGGGAAAGGATTCCCTATTTAATAAATGGTGCTGGGAAAACTGGCTAGCCATAGGTAGAAAGCTGAAACTGGATCCCTTTCTTACACCTTATACAAAAATTAACTCAAGATGGATCAAAGACTTAAATGTTAGATCTAAAACCATAAAGACCCTAGAAGAAAACCTAGGAAATGCCATTGAGGACATAGGCATGGGCAAGGATTTCATGTCTAAAATACCAAAAGCAATGGCAACAAAAGCCAAAATTGACAAATGGGATCTAATTAACTAAAGAGCATCTGCACAGCAAAAGAAACTACCATCAGAAGGAACAGGCAACCTACAGAATGGGAGAAGATTTTTGCAATCTACTCATCTGATAAAGGGCTAATATCCAGAATCTACAAAGGACTCAAACAAATTTACAAGAAAAAAACAAACAATCCCATCACAAAGTGGGTGAAGGATATGAACAGACACTTTTCAAAAGAAGACATTTATGCAGCCAACAGACCATGAAAAAATGCTCATCATCACTGGTCATCAGAGAAATGCAAATCTAAATCACAATGAGATACCATCTCACACCAGTTAGAATGGCGATCATTAAAGAGTCAGGAAAAAACAGGTGCTGGAGAGGATGTGGAGAAATAGGAACACTTACACTGTTGGTGGGACTGTAAACTAGTTCAACCATTGTGGAAGTCAGTGTGGTGATTCCTCAAGGACCTAGAACTAGAAATACCATTTGACCCAGCCATCCCATTACTGGGTATATACCGAAAGGATTACAAATCATGCTGCTATAAAGGCACATGCACCCATATGTTTACTGCGGCACTATTCACAATAGCAAAGACTTGGAACCAACAAAAAATGTCCATCAATGATAGACTGGATTAAGAAAATGTGGCACATATACACCATGGAATGCTATGCAGCCATGAAAAAGGATGAGTTCATGTCCTTTGTAGGGACACAAATGAAGCTGGAAACCATCATTCTCAGCAAACTATCGCAAGAACAAAAAACCAAACACTGTATGTCCTCACTCATAGGTGAGAATTGAACAATGGGAACACTTGGACACAGGAAGGGGAATATCACACACCAGGCCCTGTTGTGGGGTGGGGGAAGAAGGGAGGGATAGCAATAGGAGATATACCTAATGTAAATGAGTAGTTAATGGGTGCAGCACACAAACATGGCCCATGTATACATATGTAACAAACCTTCACGTTGTGCACATGTACCCTAGAACTTAAAGTATAAAAAAAATTATTAAAAATCACTGAAATGTACACTTTAAAAAACAAAAAAAAAGAGTGTATTCTATCAGGATTCTGACTAGAGTGCTCTAGAGTATGACATAGGATAGGGAATGTCTTAATAAGCTTCAAAATTCTAGGAATAATGAACCTAGGAAAAAAGCTTTGAAAAATGCCAGGGATTCAACTGCCTCCCTGGCCTTTCCCTGCCAATCAATGTGCCCCAGCACCCAATTTACACAGCACTGTGTGCAGGTTTGTAAATAGACCTTCCAATTCTGCTATAATCAAGACCTTATTGTCCATAACTCAATTTGGAGAAGGTTTAGCTGTCTGCCAACTCTTGTGCAGAGTTTCTGTGAAGTTTTGTTTTGGGTTGCAAGAATCTGGAAAACAAATGCAGATATTTTTGAGGAAGATTTTGAAATTTCTATTTACAATGTACCCAAAATGGGATGCAAACTCGAATTTGGTTGATCTTCTGAAATACATACCTGTGTTTTAAGATTTGCTTGAGCAAACCTTTAACCATGGAAATTTGAAACAATGATTTCCGGGTTGAAATAATTCCAGTTTTGTCATTTAAATACCGCAAATGAATCTGTTTTAGCACAGGGTACAAATATCTTTTTTCCTTTTGTGCATTTGGCAGTAGTGTGTTTTGGTAATAAAACATAGCTCTGCATATTAATGAAACATAGCTCTGCATATTTTGTCTGGGGAAAATTAGTATTCTGTGAACAAAGTCAACAATTTCTGGCCTCGCATTAGTTTTCCTATTATAATTAAAACTTAGTTTTGGCCGGGCGTGGTGGCTCAGGCCTGTAATCCCCGCACTTTGGGAGGTCAAGGCAGGCAGATCATGAGGCCAGGAGGTTGAGACCATCCTGGCTAACATGGTGAAATCCCGTCTCTTCTAAAAATACAAAAAAAAAAAAAAAAATTAACCAGTTGTGGTGGCGGGCGCCTGTAGTCCCAGCTACTCAGGAGGCTGAGGCAGGAGAATGGCATGAACCTGGGAAGCAGAGCTTGCAGCAAGCCGAGATCAAGCCACTGCACTCTAGCCTGGGTGACAGAGAGAGACTCTGTCAAAAAAAAAAAAAAAACAAAACAAAAAAACACTTAGTTTTGAAAATATCTTGGTATTAAATTTCCAATGCTTCAATATTATAATGAAAACCTTGCTTTACTGAGAGCAGAAACATAATGCAGAAAAGAAAAAAGACCAACAGTCTCTAGATTACTGGATTTATGTGGATATGATGGAGTTGGTGTTTAATGATTTCTCCCTTGAATCATAGCAAAGATGCTTTTGCGAAGCATAGCTCTTTCATAAATATACTTTCCAACCATTCAGCATTACCTATCTTTTGGCTCCTTTTGCTTTGTGTTTCTGCTCTGATATCATTTCTGGAAACAAATTACAGTAACAAATTTATTGAGAGCTGGCATTGTGAATTGTGCCTAGGATTTAAGTTGCTTAATACACTGCCCTCCCAAATCAAGAGAAACAGGCCATTCTGGGACAAACATAGCCTGTCTCACACAGGGGTCAGGAAGCAGAGATATCAGGCAATTGGGACTATGTCTTTATGATAGATATGGTTAGGCTTTGTGTGCCCACATCTCATCTTGAATTGTAATCCCCATGTGTTAAGGGAGACACCTGGTGGGAAGTGATTGGATCATGGGGGGTGGTTTCCCCCATGCTGTTCTTGTGATACTGAGTGAATTCTCATGAATTCTGATGGTTTTATAAATGGTAGTTTTTTCTGCACACACACACATGTTCTTTCTCCTGCTGCCATGTAAGAAGGTCCAGTTTGCTTCTCCTTTGCCTTTTGCCATGATTGTAAGTTTCCTGAGGCCTCCCCAGCTATGAGGAACTGTGAGTCAATTTAACCTTTTTGTTTTATAAGTTACCTAGTCTTGGGAAGATTTTTATTGCAGTGTGAGAATGGACTATTACAGTAAATTCATGCTGATAGAGTTGGGTACTGCTATAAAGATACCCAGCAATGTAAAAGCGACTTTGGATCTGGAGATGGAGATGAGAAACCTATTGGGAACTAGAGCAAAGGTCACTCTTGCTATGCTTAAGCAGAGACTGGCAGCATTTTCCCCCTGCCCTAAAGAGCTGTGGAACTTTGAACTTAGATGATCTGAAATTGAAACTTACATTTAAAAGGGAAGCAGAGCATAAAAGTTTGGGAAAATTTACAGCCTGATAATGCTATAGAAAAGAAAAACCCATTATTTGGGGAAAAATTCAAGCCAGCTGCAAAAATTTGCATAAGCAACAGGGAGCCTAATGTTAATCACCAAGACAATGGGGAACATGTCTCCAGGGCATGTCAGAGACCTTCACAGAAGCCTTTCCCATCACAGACCAGGAGGTCTAAGAGGAAAAAATGGCTTTGTGTGCCGGGTCCAGGCCTTGCTGCTTTGTGAAGCCTCAGTACTTGGTGCCCTGTGTCCCAGCCACTACATCTGTGGCTAAAAGGGGCCAAGGTACAGTTCAGACCATTGCTTCTGTAGGTACAAGCCCCAAGCTTCGTTGGCTTCCATGTGGTGTTGAGCCTGTGAGTGCACAGAAGTCAAGAATTGGGGTTTGGGAACCTCCACCTAGATTTTAGAGGATGTAAGGAAAAGCCTGGATATACAGGCATAAGTTTGCTGCAGAGGTGGAGCCCTCATGGAGAACTCCATGTTAGGGCAGTGCAGAAGAGAAATGTGAGGTCAGAGCCTTCACACACAGTCCCCACTGAGGCACTGACTAGTGGAGCTGTGAGAAAAGAGCCACTATTCTCCAGATCCCAGAATGGTAGATCAACCAACAGCTTGCATTGTACATCTGGAAAAGCTGCAGACACTCAATGCCAGCCTATGAAAGCAGCTTGGAATGGGGCTGTACCCTGCAAAGGCACGGGGCAGAGCTGCCCAAGACCATGAGAGCCTACTTCTTGCACCAGTGTGACCTGAATGTGAGACATGGAGTCAAAGGAGATTATTTTGGAGCTTTAAAATGCAATGACTACCCTGCTGGATTCTGGACTTGCATGGGGCCTTTAGCCCCTTTGTTTTGTCCAATTCTCCTATATGGAATGGGAGCATCCTCATCCAATGCCTGTACCCTCATTGTATCTTAGAAGTAATTAACTTGGTTTTGATTTTATAGGCCATGCTAATCAGCATTCAGTTCCAGATTCCAATTTATTCTCAGTGTGCCTGTATAACTTTTCTTTCCATATATATAGAATTAAATTTCTATTACTTATTTGAATGTTATAGAATACTGTTCATACATTTAAAATAAAACCACCAGGTATAATGATTTCTGGCTTAGTATAAAAAAGCTTTTACCCAGTTAGTGTTATTTACACAGGTGGATGTGGCTCCACAACATTTAGAGAAGAAGAATAAATTAAGCTGTCATATGTTGCCATGACTCAGCCTATGAAGAGGTTATGAAAAAATCCAAATTTCAGCAAAAGTATATGGTTGTTTTCAGTACCTCTGGAGGTGGTATATCAAGAATTCTCATGCTACTGTTTGAGAAAACAGATTCCGTTGTTACCTAGAAAATCAACTGCAAGGCATTTTAATAACCTTACCCCATGTAAAAAAAAAATACATTGAAATGTACTAATAAATGCAGACTACATTACTTGAAAAATGGTAATACAGAATACCACTTTTAATATTTGAGAATATGAATTTTTGGTAGAAATAATGTAAAATAAAGCTTCTGGTAAGCCTTGGGCAGTTAAATTTACATCAGTGTAAAGTAGGATGAAAATCTGTAAAAAATAAAAATAAAAAACACACAAAAACCTACACCAAAAAAACCCTAACATCCACCAATGCATACATATTGATCTTTGTGCTGGGAAAATCTAAAGCAGAACATTTTGGTAAACTTGATCGTTATTTATTTTGACTATATTGGCATGTTGATAAAACTGCTTATATTTAATTTGAGTGAAACATGTCCACATTATTAAAAGTGTTGCTTTGTACTATGAATGATGGATGTAAAGTCTTGATCCTCATCCAAATAAATATGGCAACACTTTCTTCTGCTTCTTTTGAGCTGAGGCATTATGAAAGCTCAAATTTGAAGTGAGAGGGACTTAACATCAGAGCCTGAGAAACCAAGAAGAATAAGGTAGGATGGTCAGCTCTGAAGCTCAGGGTGGCCTGGGGAAACTCAATATAATGATGTCAACTATGAAGCTTACTGGGTAAAACTACAAATAGGCTGATCTCATTTTACAAAGGTAAGTCAACACTCCCATTTCCAAGAAAGTAAAAAACAAAACAAGCAAATAAAACTAAAAATACAAACTTGAAAACATCATGGCTTAAATTTGGTGGGAAGAAGCCTCTGGGATCAAAAATACTTGTGCCAAAAGAATTGAGCCAGCCGGGTGTGGTGTCTCATGCCTGTAATCCCAGGACTTTGGGAGGCCGAGGTGGGCAGATCACCTGAGATCAATAGTTTGAGAACAGCCTGGCCAATATAGTGAATCCCCATATCTACTAAAAATACAAAAAATTAGCTGGGCATGGTGGCAGGCACTGTAATCCCAGCTACTTGGGAGGCTGAGGCAGGAGAATAGTTTCAACCCAAGAGGCGAAGGCTGCAGTGAGCCGAGGTCGTGCCATTGCACTCAAGCCTGGGCAACAAGAGCGAAACTCCGTCAATTAAAAAAAAAAAAAAAAGAATTGAGCCAGAATAAAATGTATTTAAGGGTTATTAAGGGGAATGTTTCCAGCACATAAGTAATTGTTCCACATCATATTATATTATATTAGGCAATATACTTTCATGTAATATCAGCTTCTCAAGACAGGGATGTCAAAGAGAAACTAAGACAAGTGCCTAATATGTCATTGGCATTTTGTTCTCAAATTTAACAAACTTGTAATGATTATATAAATTTTACTGAACTGTGTTTTATGTATAAACCTCACCTAAAGGCATTATCCAGTACATACAACCTTCAGTCTTTTCTGGGATGTTCTGTTGCCTGATTTCAAATCAAACTTATTGAAATTCTAGCAATTTCTCCAGTCCCAGATGTAAAAATAAAAAAGCAGAAATAAAGCCAAATTACCCCCAAAAGAATATGCATTATACGTATAGAACAAATGAACCCAAAACCACATAAGATAAACAACAAAGCTACTGGTTCAAAATTAAGCCTAACTTCAACAGTACCAGGCAAAAACCATTTGTAAAAATTACCAAAGTCAAAATACAGAAACCTTTAGTCTATTATGCCTATAAATATCATGGAACCTGCCCCGATAGTCACGTAGGTTCTTTTCTATTTTCCCTAAGTGTCAACTGGTTTGAGAAATAAAGGGAGAGAGTACAAAAGTGGGAAATTTTAAAGCTGGGCATCCAGGGGAGACATCACGTGTCAGTAGGTTCCGTGATGCCCCCCAAGCCGCAAAACCAGCAAGTTTTTATTAGGGACTTTCAAAAGTGGAGGGAGTGTACGAATAGGGTGTGGATCATAAAGATCACATACTTCACAAGGTAATAGAATATCACAAGGCAAATGGAGGCAGGGCAAGATCACAGGACCACAGGACCAGGGCAAAATTAAAATTGCTAATGAAGTTTCAGACACCATTGTCATTGACAACATCTTATCAGGAGACAGGGTTTGAGAGCAACCTGTCTGACCAAAATTTATTAGGCAGGAATTTCCTCTTCCTAATAAGCTTGGGAGTTCTACAGGAGACTGGGGTTTATTTCATCCCTAAAGTTTTGACCATAGAAGATGGTTACACCCAAGGGGGCCATTTGTAGTCCCACCCTCAGGGGTGCATTCTCTTTCTCAGGGATGTTCCTTGCTGAGAAAAATAATTCAGTGATATTTCTCCCATTTGCTTTTGAAAGAAGAGAAATATGGTTCTGTTCCACTTGGATCACCAGTGGTCAGAGTCTAAGGTTATCTCTCTTATTCCCTGAACAATTGCTGTTATCCTGTTCTTTTTTCAAGGTGTCCAGATTTCATATTGTTCAAACACACAGGCTCTACAATCTGTGCAGTTAACGCAGTTATCACAGGGTCCTGAGGTGACATATGTCCTCCTCAGCTGACAGGATTAAGAGATTAAAGTAAAGACAGGCATAAGAAATCACAAGGGTATTGACTGGGAAAGTGATAAGTGTCCATGAAATCTTAACAATTTGTGTTTAGAGATTGCAGTAAAGACAGGCATAGGAAATTATAAAAGTATTAATTTGGGGAACTAATAAATGTCCATAAAATCTTCACAGTCCCCATTCTTTTGCCATGGCTTCAGCCGGTCCCACTGTTTGGGGTCCCTGACTTCCCACAACAAATAAAAAACTAGCATTAAATATAACGTTAAATATAACAGAACATATACAATTACAATAAAGTATTTTTAAATGGTAATCTTATTTACAAATATTTACCATATTTAGACAAGACTTTTAATGAAAAATACTTATAGCTACAATGTATGATTAAAACAGCCCTGGAAGAAATATTAATTCTATTAATAATAAAGATTAAGGCAGGGTGCAGTGGCTCACACCTATTATCCCAGCACTTTGGGAGGCCGAGGTGGGCAGATCATCTGAGGTCAGGAGTTCGCCACCAGCCTGGCCAACATGGTGAAACCTAGTCTCTACTAAAAATGCAAAAATTAGCCAGGCGTGGTGGCAGGCATCTGTAATCCCAGCTACTTGGGAGGTTGAGGAAGGAGAATTGCTTGAACCTGGGAGGTGGAGGTTGCAGTGAGCTGAGATTGCACCATTGCACTCCAGCCTGGATGACAAGAGTGAGAATCCATCTAAAAAAATATTAAAACTTCAAGGTTGTTGTATAATTTATCCTGGACACACAGCTAATGACCCAAATCAAGCTCAGATGTGTTTGATTTTAAAATTCTCCCTTTTCCACTGTGGACAATGTTGATGTAACAGTTAAATCTTGGTCTCAGAGTTGGTGGTTGGGAATAAATCAAGGCAAGTACTATTATGCTTTGTTTTGTATTCTTTATCACCAACATTTTCTTCTCTAATATGTCAGTATTTACATTTGGACCACAGCTGACTTTTACTGAAGTCTACTATAAAACATGGCTAAATTGAAAATTAATGTGATCACAAAATGATTTGTCATGAAAGCAGGTATATTTTTCAAGTTTCAGCTCAGTCACAAATTTGTATCTATTTGAATTTTTTGAAAATTTCTGACATATACTCAAGTAAATATCAAATGTATTGTTTTATTCAATTTTTTGGATTCAATTAAAAAGTAATTTATATTCAAGTTTGTTGTTATATTTACTTTTGACCAAATTTGACTTTCCAAACAGGAAAAGCTAAAGCATTTTTTTCAAAGGTTCAAGGGACTTAAGCTTACTGGCATCAAATGTTCTGTAGTAAAACAGGCAAATAAAACCTAACATTTTTATCAATAATAATTTAATAGTTTTATGTCTGAGAACCTAAGAATCAAAGACATCAACTCCAGATGATGTCAATTGCATAATTACACTGGTAAGATAGAAAATGATTATCAGAGTCTATCAAATGATGGATATGGCAACCTAACACTTGACAAAACCATTCAGGATGTGTTAGATAAACAAGAAGGTACTACTAATGTAAAGATTTTCTTTATCTAACTTTACTTTTTTTTTTTTTTTTTGAGACAGAGTCTCACTCTGTTGCCCAGGCTGGAGTGCAGTGGTGCAATCTCAGCTCACTGCAAGCTCCGCCTCCCAGGTTCACGCCATTCTCCTGCCTTAGCCTCCCGAGTAGCTGGGACTACAGGCGCCTGCCATGACGCCTGGCTAATTTTTTATATTTTTTAGTAGAGACGGGCTTTCAACCTGTTAGCCAGGATGGTCTCAATCTCCTGACCTTGTGATCCACCTCCTTCAGCCTCCCAAAGTGCTGATATTACAGGCATGAGCCACCGAGCCTGGCCCAATTTTACTCTTTATTCTCAACCTTACAACCATCAGATACTCATGTACACAGAATAATAAAAATCAACTTTTTTTCCTTGAAGGCAATGTTTCGTCTTGTATTTTATAATATCTGTTCCACATTGCTGTGACAATGCTGTTGAAGTGCACCTTCCTTCTTTCACCAAAAGATCACCTGTGTGAATTTGAATAGATGGTCACTGGAGGGGACCAGCTTGGCACACTGGATTGAATTGTCTCTTTGCCTTTCAGGCAAAGTGGCTTTGAAAAGACTGAAAATAAAGTGTCTGCTGCTTAAGCAGATGGCTTGCCATGTAAATAGGACAATTGTTTGAAAATCCACATCGCATGAACTACAACTATTAAAATGTGAAATGCATGATGCAAATAGTGCACAAAAAATAGAATGAAAATGATCAATATAGCCATAAAAGACAGCCAAACTCCATTTTAGCAATAAAGTAAAATATAATCTGCTGTCAGGGAAGGTAATTTGAAGTACTTGAGATGTTCTTTAATTTAAAAATCCAAAAATATTTTTAGTTTTAGTTATATAAAACATGTTTAAGCATTTTCCATTTGAAATAAAATTTTAATTTCATGCTTTGTCAGTTTAGTTTCCCTAAATAAACAGAAAATAGTAAAATATCGCATACTAAAAAAATCAACTTCTTTGGTAATAAATCAGTTCAACTGTCAGACCAAAACATAGTTACATTTTACCCAATGTCATGCTGACCAATTTGATCAAATGCCACTTCCTTATAACTAAGAGGGATGCAAAGATGTAGATTTTATGTTGAGTGAGACAGGTAAGGATTACTAGGAGTTAGATAATTGTTTTACTAATCAAGGTCGATTTTCATTACTATTTTGTTTCTATGTTAATTAATGGTCTTGATTCAAGAATTTTTTTTAAAAAACTCATCTTCTCAGTCAGGCAAAATATTAACAAAAAGGAATAGAAATGAAGGCATTTAACACAGTCATAGTTTACATTTTAAAATTAAAATATTTCTAGAAATAACAAAAAAAGAAAAAATATAAAAACAAATGAACTTAATTTTTGGTGCAAAGCACTCATTACTAAGCCTAACACAAATATTTTGGTAAAGGCTTTCTGACACTGACATTCTTCTCCTGACTTAAAAGAGCCACTAATTTTACTTTTGACATATATTTAGTTTTAATGTTAAAAGCTAAAAGGAGCCTATTATTTTATTTATAATTGGTGGTCTGCATGTACATCGCCATCCATTGAGTCGACTAAAGTTTCTCAAAACTTCAGAAACAGTAACATAAGAATACTTTTTCCAGCCATGCATGGTGGCTCACGCCTGTAATCCCAGCACTTTGGGAGGCCGGGGTGGGGGGAATCACCTGAAGTCAGGCATTTGAAACCAGCCTGATGAACCTGGTGAAACACCATCTCTACTAAAAATACAAAATTAGCTGGGCGTGGTGGCACATGCCTGTAACCCCAGCTACTCCTTCAATGACCACATGTGAAGTTTCTTTTGAACTAATTATAACTACCTATTTTTATTGCTTTTTTGCTCCTATTAGAAAAAAATATTAAAGTTCCTGTTACTACAAACACAATCTATTCAAATCTAAGCATAGTGCTTATCTTAAAAGATCTATATGCTTGGAATTATGGAAATCCTATTCTCCATTTAAAATACTGCTTTTCAGTAAGCCAAATGGGGCAACTGTGGCTCACAATCATAAGTTATTAAATATTAATACCATCATCTAGTTGGAACTTTTAGTTATCTGCATGTTCAAATGGTTTTAACTTATAATAAGTCAGAAACTATAATTTTTTATAAACTATAGAAATAAACAAAAAATATATTTATCAATGCATTTTTTTTCAGTTTTAAAATACTTAGCCCCAGGATTATTTCTAGTTGACATAACACTAGATTTCAGATGATGTGGATGTAGAAACTAGAAACGTCCTGGTTGACTCTGCTTCACTTTCTGCCTTCATTTAGCACACAAACATAGCAGCACAACGAAAGCCAGCAATGCTACCCCTTTTGAAAAGCACACCAGTGCCCTTCTAGGGAGAATATATGTGTGAAAAGATGCATCTGAAAGTCAGGCCATGTTCTCTTTTATTTACAGACTTATATATGACAAATAATACAAATAAAAATTTAACACTGCCATATAATCAGAAAATTATTCTAAAAATTCCTTCTGACACATTATTCTTTTTCACCAAAATGGTTGTGATGAAATGATTGCCTTTGCAGGACGGTTGTCTTAAATAACCAATACTCCCGTTTCATTGTTCTTGAACTTTAACCATAACGCTTTCATGCTTTTTCTAGAAATTTTATTTCCTAATTATGTCACTTAGGTATGATTACCATAGCTTCATATTTTCAAAAACGGTTCTAAAAAAACTTAAACCACTGACCATCTTTGTTTCCCAAAGGAGTAGACTAATAAATTAACACTATCATCTAGCATACTGTAAATAGATGAAAAATAATGATGTAGAGCAGGCGTGTTCAATCTTTTGGCTTCCCTGGGACACACTAGAAGAACTGTCTTGAGCCATACATAAAATACACCAATGATGATAAAAAAAATCACAAAAAACTCATAATGCTTTTAGAAAGTTTATGAATTTGTTTAGGGCTGCACTGAAAGCCATATTGGGCCACATGCAGCCTGTAGGTCATGAGTTGGACAAGCTTGATATACTGTCATTTATTTTAGCTGCACACTCAAGACTAAGGCCAAGGGCTTTCAGAGAAAATAGCCTATAGGATGTCAGGAGACCTGTTATAGAAACATTCACCCCTATGTCTAAAGGGGACAAAATTCTATGTCTTCCACCCTTAATTCCAACCATTAACCAAAACTGGAGAAATCTAACATGGCATTATATCACAAAGTACTTTATTATTTTTATTTTGGATTCAAGGATACACGTGCAGATTTGTAACATAGGTATACTGCATGACATTGGGGTTTGGGCAATTAATAATCCCTTTGCCCAGGTAGTGTACATGATACATGATAAGTACTTTTTAACCCTTGTACCCCTTCTCCCTCCGTTTTGGAATCCTTAGTGTTTATTGTTCTCATCATTGCTTCCGTGTGTACCCAATGTTTAGCTTCCATTTATAAGTGAGAAAAAGTAGTATTTGGTTTTCTGTTCTGTGTTAATTTGCTTAGGATCATGACCTTGAGCTGCATCCATGTTGCTGCAAAGAGTATTACAAGATTCTTCTTCAGTGGCTGCATAGTATTGGATGGTGTGTAATTACCTAATTTTTAAAATCCATCTTAAGATTTATGAGCACATGGTTTCATTCCATGTTTTTGCTATTGTGACTAGTGCTGCAATAAACATACGAGTGCAGTGTATTTTTGGAAGAAAAATTTATTTGTATTTGGGTATATGCCCAGTAGTGAGGCTGCTGGGTCAAATGGTAACTTTAGTTTTAGTCATTTGAGAAATCCCCAAAATGCATTCTACAGGAGCTGAACTAATTTGCATTCCCACTAAGTATATCAGGGTTCTCTTTTCTACACAATTTTAATATCTGTTTTTTTTTTTTTTTTTTTACTTTTTAATAATAGTCATTTAGACTGGGGTGAGATGGTATCACATTGTAGTTTGGATTTACATCTCTCTAATCATTAGAAATGTTGATCCATTTTTCATATGTTTGATGGCTGCTTTTCTTGTCTTTTAAAAGTATATGTTCACATTTTTTGTCAATATTTTTTCTTAAATTCCTTATAAAACATATATATTAGTTATTTGTTGTATGCAGTTTACACATATTTTAGCCCATACTGTAGGTTGTCTGTTTATTTTGTTAATAGTTTCTCTTGCTGTGCAGGTCACAATTTTTATTTTTTATTTTTGTTGCTTTCACTTTTGAGGATGTAGTCATTAATTCTTTACAGAGACCAATGCCAAGGAGAGAATTTTCTAGGTGTTCTTTTAGGATTTTTATAGGTTGAACTCTTACAGATATGTCTTTAATGTATCTTGAGTTAATTTTCCATATCATGAGTCGAGTTTTCCTCTTCTGCATATGACTAACCAGTTTTTCCAGCACCTTTTATTGGGTAGGGAGTTCTTTCCATTTGTTTCTGTTGATGCTGTCAAAAATCAATTAATTGTAAGAGTTCAGCTTCATTTCAGGGCTCTCTCTTCTGTTCAATAGGGATATGTGTGTGTGTGTATCTGCATCCACATTATATTGATTACCGTAACTTGTGGTAAAGTTTGAAGTTTGGTAACATAATGTCTCCAGGTTTATACTTTTTGTTTAGTATGGCCTTGGCTATTTGAGCTTTTTTGTTTACATATAAATTTTAGAATAGTTTTTTTGTCTAATTTTATAAAAAATGGCATTGGTAGAGTGATAGAAATACAAATAAACTGTCAATTGCTTTGGGCAGTATGAAATTTTTAATAATTCTAATCCATTAGCATGAAATACTATTCCATTTATTTGCACTGTGTCTGATTTCTTTCAGTAGTGGTTTGTAGTTCTTCTAGTAGAGATATTTAACCTCCTTTGTTTAATGGATCACTATTTTATTTTTTGTTTCTGGCTATTGTAAACTGGATTGTTTTCTTAATTTTGCTCTGCTTAAGTGTTACTGGTGTAGAAATGTTCCTCATTTTTGAATGTTGTTTTGCTTTTTGTTGTTGTTGCTGAGATTTTGCTGAAGTCTTTTATTAGGCTTAGGAGTCTTTTGGAGGAGTCTTTGAAGTTGGTAGAAAATTATAGCATCAGTAAAGACAGATAAGTTGATTTCCTTTTCTCTTATTTGAGTGCTTTTCCTTTCTTTATCTTGCCTGATTGTTCTGGCTAAAACTTTCAGGACTATGTTGAATAGGAGTGGTGGAAGTGCACATTCTTTTCTTATTTCAGTTTTTAGGAAGGATGCATTAATCTTTCACCTGTTCAGTATGATGTTGGCTGAGGATTTGTCTCATGTGGCTGTTATTATTTTGAGGTATGTTCCTTCAATGCCTAGTTTTTTGAGAATTCTTTTCATAAATAGATATTACATTTTATTAATTGCTATTTCCACATCTATTGAGGTAATGTGGTTTTGTTTTTAAATTATTTTTATATGTTGAATCACATTTATAGATTGCACATGTTAAAACATTCCTGCATTCACAGAATAATGTCCACATAGTTGCAGTGAAATAACTTTGATTTCCTGACTCAGTTTGCAAGCATTTCATGAATAATTTTTGTGTCTGTATTCATCAAGGATATTGGCCTGTAATTTTTTGTGTGTGTCTTTACCTGATTAATATATCAAGATGAGACTGATATGATAGAATTAATTAGGAAGGAGTCCCACTTTGATTTTTTGGAATACTTTCTGTAGAATTATAGCTGACTCATTTTTGTATACATGATAAAATCATGCTGTGAATGCATCTGGTTTAGCACTTTTTATAATTGGTAGATTTTTTTTATCACCAATTCAATTTGCTTACACATTTTGGTTTCTTCAAGATTTGTTTATTCCTGATTCAATCTTGGGAGGTTGTATATTTCTAAGAGTTTATTCATTTCCTCTAGACTTTCTAGTTGGTGTGCACAGAGATATATATAGTAGTCTGCAAGTATGTTTTGTATTTTTGTGGGATTGGTTGTCACAAATGTAACATTCAAATAGATGTATAATGAAAGTGTAACAAAATTCAATATCTCCTCATAATAAATCTCTTGAACTAGTTATAAAATAAATGAAATTCAAGGTAATGTCGTGTGTAACAAAAATGCACACCTAATATACTGAATAAGGAAAAACTGTAAGCCTTTTCTCTAAGAGCTAGAACAAGACAAGGATGTCCAATTTCTCCAATCCTTTTTTTTTTTTTTTTTTGAGATGGAGTCTCACTCTGTTGCCTAGGCTGGAGTGCAGTGGTGCAATTTTGGCTCACTGCAAGCTCTGCCTCCCAGGTTTACACCATTCTCCTGCCTCAGCCTCCTGAGTAGCTGGGACTACAGGTGCCCACCACCACACCAGGCTAATTTTTGTCTTTTTAGTAGAGACGGGGTTTCACCTTGTTAGCCAGGATGGTCTTGGTCTCCTGACCTCGTGATGCATCCACCTCTGCCTCCCACAGTGCTGGGATTACAGGTGTGAGCCACCACACCCAGCCCAATTTCTTTGATCTTACTGAACATAATACAAAATGACCAAGACAGAAAAATTATTCAATAAAATCAAAACAACCTTAAATAAAATGAAGAAGATAAATTATATTTTCCTTGCAGATGATATAATCTTAAGTATAGAAAAACCTAGGACTTCACAAAAAATTATTAGAATAAACAATTTTATTAAACTTGCAGGATACAAAATCAACATAAAAAATTCAGTAATATTTCTATACACTAACAATAAAGTATCTGAAAATAAAACCAAAAAAAATCCCATCTACAATAATTGCAGCAATAACTATACTTAGAAATGAATGTAACCAAAAAGGTGAAAGATCTGTACATTATAATCTAAAAAAAAGTTAGAAAATAATATTCAAACAAAAAGATATTTCTAATTCATAAATGGGCATGATTAATATTGTTAAATATCAGCATTACACAAGCTGATATACAGATATAATAAAACTTCTATTAAAATACCAGTTAAATTCTCCACAGAAAGGTTTTTAAAAAATCTAAAATGTATATTGCCCCACAAAAGGCCTTAATAGCTAAGAAAATCAAGCAGAAAATGAAAAATAAAAGGCTGAAGGAATCACTCTACCTGACTTTTAAATGTCCAACAAAGCTACAGTAATCAAAACAGAGTGTTACTTACATAAAAATGGACACAAAGGCCAGCAGAGCAAAAGAGAAAGACCAGAAATAAATTCATGTATTTACAGACAACTGATTGTAAATAAAGATGACAATTTTTTTAAAAAAAGAACAGTCTCTTTTATAAATGATGTTGAGAAAATATATATCCACATGCAAAATAATAAAATCAGACCTTCATCTCACACCATATATAAAAATTAACTCAAATTAGATACTTAAATACGAGACCTGAAAATCTAAAACTAAGATGAGGAAATATAGAATGAATGCCTCATAACATTGGTCTGGGCAGTGACTCTTGGGTTTCACCTCAAAATTTTAGGGGGAAAAAGACAAATCAGATTCCTTAAAATTAAGAAGTTGCTGCACACCAACAGATACAATCAGCAGAATGACATAACTGAAAAATGGAAGAAAATATTTGCAAATTACACGTGAAAAGCAGTTAATATCAAAAATATATAAGAAACTCAAAGGACTATACAACAAAAAACAAATAACCATGAAAAATAAGCAAAAGATCTATATAAATAATTTTCAAAGAAAGACATACATATAGCTTGGCAGATAGATGAATATGGCTCAAAGTCAATTATCATCAAGGAAAGGCAAACCAAAACAACTCTAAGATATAAACTCACTCCTGTTAAAATGCTTAAAAAAATTGTTGGTAAACTTGAAAAAAGAGAAAGAGGGGAGCTTTCACACTGTTTGTGTCAATGTAAATAAAAACAGCCATTATGAAAAATAGAAATTTTGCAAAACAATTAAACTCTAACATGTAATTGAACTATTGGATATCTATTACAACACAAATGAAACTAGATTGATGAACAGACATCTGCAATTCAGTTTGTTGCAGCACACTTTACAGAAGCCAAAACATAGAATCAACATATGTGTCCATCATTCAATGACGAAATGCAGACACTATGGTATATATACAATCAAATAGTGTATTTTCAACAGAAAATCTTATTTTTAATCACAAAGATAAACCTAAAGGACACTATGGTTGTTGAAATAAGGCACAGAAAGGTTAATATCTCATGATTTCACTCACATGTGGATTCTACAAAACGTATCTTGATTACATAATTACAATTGGATAAGAAAAATAAGTTCAAGAGATTATAATGCATGTATTGTATTTCTGAAAAAATACTAAGACAATAAATGTTGTCTTCTCACCACAAAAATAATAACAATGTGAGGCAAAGCATTTGACAATTACCTAAAATTAGGCATCGACAATGTATATTTACTTCAAAATACTATTTTACAAAATAAATACATATTTCATCAGTGAATTTAAAAATATATTTATAAAAAGTATTAAAAATGACAATGTTTCAAATTCTGACCTGTGTTTTTGTCGTAAACCTGTCTGAATAGTATGAAAGATACAGTTTCTGTGCTGTTTTGTCACCTAGTCAGTCATGACCATATGAACTCTAATATTTACCACCATGTTCGGGAACCAGCACAGAGCATGGGAGAAGCCAATGTACCTTAGGGCTTTTATTTTGAGCTTGGGACAACTGGAGTTTCTGGTGCTGGTGGTAATGATAGGGAAGACACAAAAAGGGCAGCTCTTGCTGTGTTTCACATGATTAAACCACTCTGAAGAGAGTAAATAAGTTTGCATCCCAGACCACTGAAGACATTTTTTAACTCAAAAGATGCCATGATCTTTAAAATTTTTCGAGATAAAATGACCAAGGAGTTGACTAGTTAGGTGACAAAGACTGAAACCTCTAAATTGTAAACTGCACCCAATAAAAAAGTACATTATACAAGTGTGAGAAATTCCTCAAGATTTTAACATTAATATGAAAAAGATTATTTCACAAGTGAAATCCACAGGTGTCATTCTATTATTTTCGAATATTTAACATTCACACCAAAATAAAAGATTCTGAATGAAAACTTAAGTTGAGCTGTAAGTATGTAATAAAAAATTAAATTTAACATTCTCCACTTAACATTAACTCTTCTAAAAGTTTAATTTCTAAGACATATCTTCTAACTAATTTTATATTTTCCATACCTTGTGTTAATTTTTTTTTTTTTGAGATGAAGTCTCACTCTATCATCAGGCTGGAATGCAGTTGCACAATCTCAGCTCACTGCAACCTCTGTCTCCTGGGTTCAAGCGATTTTCCTGCCTCAGCCTCCTGAATGGCTAGGTCAAC
Organism: Homo sapiens; assembly: GCF_000001405.40. Lineage (NCBI taxonomy): Eukaryota > Metazoa > Chordata > Mammalia > Primates > Hominidae > Homo > Homo sapiens. Next base: position 18,391,189 of record NC_000014.9, read on the forward strand.
ATGTGCATGCCACCATGCCCAGCTAATTTTTGTATTTTTAGTGGAGATGGGGTTTCACCATATTGTCCAGGAAGGTCTCAACTTCTTGACCTAGTGATTCTCCCACCTCAGCCTCCCAAAGTGCTGGGATTATAGGTGTGAGCTACCACACACAGACTGTGTTAAAATTTGATAAAAGTTTGGTTTTACAAAGACAAGAAATTCTGACTGATTTATTCCTCTCACCTGTGAACACTGCATGCCTTTTATCTCAATTAACAGATCTGAAAGTTACATTGACAAACTTTCATCAGAACCTACAAAGTACTGTGTGAAGTGGCATGGCACAAAACAAACAGCAATAAAGATGTAGCCATAACACAAAGAATAAAAAGAAGGGCTGTGATGCATACACAGTTGGGATAAACATAAGTAGACACACAAACAAAACTAAAGATAATCAGAAAATAAGCAGAATGTCTCTTTAAATTCAGAAAGAGACAATTTTGCAGCATAAGAACAGTGTCCTCTCCATATACAGAATTGATTTTCTTTCTTCACCATGCGTATTTCTTTATTTTTACTTGGAGCTACAAACTAACTCCAGCAGAAATATTTGTGGCCAATAATGGTGCATCAGCAAGCATTGTGTTTGCTACATTTACATATCAAAATATCTTTATGACTTATGAAGCCTCCCCAGTATTTACCTAAACAAATTGGCTGAATGAATAAATTAACCTATGTCAATTATAAAGAGTAAAAGGAACAATAATAAAGGAAACTTAGCTTACACAGGCTTCTCCAATTAAAATAACAAAATGGGATGTTCTAACTAAATGAAATATAAGTTGGTCAGATGCAGTGGCTCATGCCTGTAATCCCAGCACCTTGGGAGGCCAAGGTGGGTGGACCACCAGGTCAGGAGTTCAAGGCCACTCTGGCCATTTATAGTGAAACACTGTCTCTACTAAAAATACAAAAACGTTAGCTGGGCATGGTGACACATGCCTGTAGTCCCAGCTACTTAGGAGGCTGAGGCAAGAGAATTTCTTGAGCCCAGCAGGTGGGGGTTGTAGTGAGCTGAGATCCCACCACTGCACTCTAGCCTGGGCGACAGAGTGAGACACCATCTCAAAAAAAAAAAAAAGAAAAAAGAAAGCAACAAAAGAAATATAAGTTAATACACTCATTGTGAAATAACATTGAAAAATTATTTTGCGTGCATTAGTAAATTTTATAAAAATTCTTAGAATACCTGAGCAACTCACATAATGAATACTTAATAAATTATAAACACAAAAAATATGAAAAAAATATCAGTCTACCATGAGTACCAGGCACATGAAAGAAAGAATTTGCATGGAAAGATTCGGAAAAGCAATCCATAAGACTTCACAGTAATTAATTAAATAAAATACAGAGAATACAGATATTCAAAATCACTGAGGTTTCTCATCTTCTAGTAAACTATTTGTCCACTTTATTAAAGCGATATTTTGTTCCAATATTTCTTGTCTTCTGAAAATAGGTACACTCACACTCACACAATTACTTGCCCCACAATTTTCTTACACCTAATGTTTATCTTAAGAGTAATATATTTGTATATTTAGCATCACGTAAGTAAAAACTAACAGTCTGTATGAGTTTACAGGCAGAGAGGCCACTTGTTCAAAATATATATGACCAATTTTTAAAAATATTTATTCAGGACTTAGAAATGTGAGATTTCTTATTATACTACTATGTAATTATTATTATGACCATAAAAAAACCTCTGTAGCAAGTAATAATTTACTTGTACATTTTAAAATAACTAAAAATGTTTAATTGGATTGTCTGTAACACACACAAAACATGCATTACGTAATGAATACCTCATTTACTCTGATGTGATTACAAGTTGTATGCCTGTATGAAAATATTCTATATATGCCATAAATAGGTAAACAATACTATGTTCCTACAAAAATTTAAAACGTTAAACAAATGTACATTTTACCCATTGAAACAATACTCTTAAACCTTTCAGTTTAATGCCACAGGCAAAAGAGATTGCTAGAGAGGTCATTCTACTATGTTACCATCTTTTATCTACATCTTTAACAAGGTGGGACACGTTAAAGTTGGTGACATAGCACTTTACTAAATGCAGGTCTTAAAAAGTTTAAAACTATTTCATTTAATTTAAAAGCTAAGTTATCACAGTCTTATAAAAGAATTTTAAAATTCCCTACATTTTATTGCATAAAAGTACAATTGGTAAAACAATTTACTACTAAAACAAAGTTTTCCTCTCACTATAATGCAGAATATCACTCTAAACACATAACTCATGTATCACATGAACAATGTTAAAAGTCAGACATAAAGAGCCTCTCCAATTAGATTTTCAATATGCATCTTACATTTTAATATCCTTACTCTTCCATGGAAAAGTTAATGAATGATGCCTACCTAATAAGAAGGGAATTTCTCAGATTTCTGATGCAACAGAAATTGATGACATGCTTTTAAACAAACAACAGGAAAAAAGGAACAGCATGAAGCAATTTTACAGTTGAATTACCTTACTATTTGCTTTTCAAAAAATCTACATTTTTTTCAAGGAAAAACGTATACCTTGAATGTAATTATAACTCCAAAAAATAATCTTCCACTCCTCTTAAACTTATATACAAATAAATTATCCAACAGTTTTAGCTTTGGATTACTTTCTATACAGAACATTCTGATTTAGTGTAACGTCTTAAGTGCCAGTGCCTTAGTTCTTCCTACTGTGAATTTTCTAAAGTTTACAAAGACTTAATTTTGACTAAATATTTTTACACATGTGTTCCCTCTGCAAAAATATCTTTTATTATAAACTGTGTGGTGTTTTGTAAGCTGTATTTTCTGAAAAAATGTTTTTCCACATTTATTACATTTGTATGGTTTCCTTCAATATAAATTCTCTGATGCTGAACAAGTTTGAGTAATTCCATTAGAGTTTTCTTCTACCATAAAATCTGTACATTATATAGGGCAAGTAAAGGTATTACAACCCTCTTTATATTTGTAATATTTGTCTCCAGAATACTCTTTTTTACTTTAAGAGTTTAAATTTTCCAAGGTCTTTCAAAAGTAATTACATTTATAATAATTTTATTAAGTATGAACTTACTGATGTTGACTATGATGTGAGCAGATAGAAATGGCTTTTCCACACTCTGTATAATTTTTCAAGTATAAATGCTTTTATGTGTCATGAGGTATGAGCATGTCAGAAGTTTTGACACATTCTTTGTTTGTAGAGATTTTCTCCACTATCAATTATTTTGCCTACAGTAAGATGTGACAACCATTTAAAAGCCTTGCCACATTGTTCAGTTTTCTGAGGTTTCTCAGTGATATTTCTCCAATGCTTAGGAAAGTTTGAGGTGTATTCATAAGCTCTGCCAAACTTTTTTAGGTTCATAGGCATAATCTTTAGTATGAATTACGGATGGATATATTTGAGCAATACTTAAAAGATTTTGCCACAGTCTTATGATTTGTATGATTTTTTTCCAGTATGAATTCTCATAAGTTTAATAAGGCATAAGGACTGGTTAAAGGCTTTCCCACATTCTTTACATTTGTGGGATTTCTCTTCAGTATGAACTCTCTTATGTCGAGTAAACTTGAGGAACAAGAAAAAGTTTTGCCACATTCTTGACATTTGTAGGGTATCTCTCCAGTATGAACTCTCTTATGTTTAGTAAAGCTTAAGGACCAGTAAAAGGCTTTGCAACATTCTTCACATTTCTGGATTCCTCTCCAGTATGAATTCTCTTATGTATAGTAAGGCCTGAAGACTGCTTAAAAAGCTTTGCCACATGCTTCATATTTGTAGGGTTTCTCTCCAGTATGATTTCTGTTATGTTCATTCAGTTTTGAGGAGTGTTTAAAGACTCTGACACATTCTTCACATTTATAGGGTTTCTCTTCAGTATGAATTCTCCGATGTATAGGAAGCTCAGAGGACCACTTTAAAGCTTTGCCACATTCTTCACATTTGTACAGTTTCTTTTCAGTATGAACTATCGTATGCTTAGTAAGGCTTGAGGAGCAGTAAAAGCCTTTGCCACATTCTTCACATTCGTAGGATACCTCTCCACTATGAGTTATCTTATGTTCATTCAGTTTTGAGGATAGTTTAAAGACTTTGCCATATTCTTGATATCTGTAGGGTTTCTCTCCACTATGAATTATCTTATGTACATTAAGGTCTAAAGACTTCTTAAAAGCTTTGCCACATTCTTGACATTTGTAGTGTTTCTCTTCAGTATGAACTATGTCATTTTGAATAAGGTTTGAGGAACAGTAAAAGGCTTTACCACATTCTTCACATTTGTAGGGTTTCTCTTCAGTATGAATTCTCTTTTGTATAGTAAGCCCCAAAGACTGCTTACAAGCTTTGCCACATTCTTCACATTTGTAGGGTTTCTCTCCCGTATGAATTCTCTTGTATGAATTATCTTGTGTATAGTAAGGTTTGAAGACCACTTAAAAGCTTTGCCACATTCTTGACATTTGTAGGGTTTCTCTCCCCTATGAATTATCGTATGTTTAGTAAAGCTTAAAAATCAATAAAAGGCTTTACCACATTCTTCGAATTTGTAAGGATTCTCTCCAGTATGAATTCTCTTATGTAGAGTAAGGCCTGAAGGTTGTTTAAAAGCTTTGCCACATTCTTTGCATTTGTAGGATTTCTCTCCAGTATGAGCTCTCATATGTTCATTCAGTTTTGAGGATTGTTTAAAGGCTTTGCCACATTCTTCACATTTGTAGGGTTTCTCTCCACTATGAATTATCTGATGTATACTAAGGTCTGAAGACCACTTAAAAATTTTGCCACAATCTTTACATTTGTAGGGGTTGTCTCCAGTATGAACTATGTTATGTTGAGTAAGGCCTGAGAAACAGTAAAAAGCTTTGCCACATTCTTCACATTTATAGAGTTTCTCTCAAGTATGAATTCTTTTATGTTCTTTCAGTTTTGAGGATTTTTTAAAGGCTTTGCCACATTCATCACACTTGTAGGATTTCTCTCCCATATGAATAATCTTATGTATAGTCAGAGTTGAAGACTACTTCAAAGCTTTGCCACATTCTTCACATTTGTAGGGTTTGTCTTCAGTATGAACTATGTTATGTTGAGTAAGGGTTGAGGAATAGGAAAAGGCTTTGCCACATTCTTCACATTTGTAGGTTGTGTCTCCAGTATAAATTTTCTTATGTTTATTCAGTTTTGAAGATTGTTTAAAGGCTTTGTCACATTCTTCACACTTGTAGGGTCTCTCTTTAGTATGAATTCTCTCATGTATAGTAAGATCTGAAGACTGCTTAAAATCTTTGCCACATTCTTCACATTGGTAGGGTTTCTCTTCAGTATGAATTATCTGATGTTGTCTTAGGTGTGAGAACCTGTGAAAGAATTGGCCACATTCTTTACATTTGAAAGGTTTCTCTCCAGTATGTCTTCTCCTAAGTCTATTTGAATTTGAAAATTTCCTAAAGACTTTCACACATGTATTACTTTGAAGTATTTTGCTCTGAGTAATCAACAAACATTGGTTAAGTCCATTATAACCTCCTTCCTGCACCTTAGATGCATTCAAACTTTTACAACCTTTTCTTATTTGTAAATTCTCATGTCTGCATTTCCCATATCTTCTCATCATCACTTTTTGAAATGAATTTTTTATGTTCTGATCTAGCCAAAGGTCTTGGGTGAAATGAGAACACGGCTGAAAGAAATAAAAATAACAAATTATCTCACTAGGCCCATGTAAATATACAAATCTATTGTTTACAAATCTAATACATAAAATTATACAAAGTACATTAGCAACATGGCATAACAAAAATACCACAGGTCCTAATTCTTTTATAGCCTTATAACAAAACTGTACTGACCAAAATGTCTTTATGGAAAATCTATAAATGAATTAAGTGTGTTCAGTGTACCAGTTGAACAAAATGCCACAAGCCACACTGAATGGATAGAAAAGTTTGTTACATTTGCCCAACACCTTTCCTCCTCCATAATGCAGCATGGCACTTTTAGAAGTAAACTGCAATGCCTGGCATCTTCCTCAACATAGAAAAAAAAACACTGGCTCATGTATTTTTACTTCTGGCTTCTGGGCACTTTTATAGAGATTTGTTTCTGTCTCCAATGACAAAATGTGTTGAAAGAAATGATGGTATACTTTGAAATAACAGCTTGAGTCTGCTGAGAAGAAAGGTAAATGTTACAGCAACAAACTACAGTACCACGACATGCAATACATACAGGAAGTAATTACAGACTGTTAAGAAACACAGGCAAACCCCTTTAACTAAATAATCAACACAAAATTCCACACAAGACACATCATAACATATTTGATAGGCTCCCAGAATCTCTAGTAGAGACAATTGGTTTCAGACTATGTTAGGACAACACAGCATTATAAAGATTGTGACAGGTACCTGTTTGTTAATGTCCAAATCTCAACCAAAGAGTACAATACATACAAAATATTACAGTGACATGGCCTAAGTAAAAAAAAAAAAACAGAAAAAAACCCTCAAAACTGTCAGAAGACAACCATGAAAATGAAGGCATACACTTTAATTTTAAAAATTTAACTTACATGGGAACACAGGTAACTAAATAAAATCAGGAAAAAATATAATATCAAGGAAAAGATGAAAAATATAATAGAAATTATAGAAGTAGAAAATAGAAATAGAAATATTGGCTGAGGCCAGCTGTAGTGGCTCATGTCTGTAGTCCCAGCACTTTGGAGTTTGAGGCAGGCAGATCACTTGAACCTTGGGAGTTCAAGTTTAAACTGGGAAACATGGCAATACTTCTCTTCTATAAAAATTAAAATTAGTCAGGTGTATTGGCACACACCTGTGGTCCCAGTAAACAGGAGGCTGAGTTAGGAGGACCACGTAAGCCTAGGGAATCCAAGGCTGCAGTAAGCTGCAATCATGCCACTGTACTCAAACCTGGGTGACAGAGCAAGACACTCTCTCAAAAAATTAAGAATACCTGAGAAATTCTCAAAAGTAAGAAAATAAGGTTGTAAAAATGAAGAAGCTCAACATACTAAAACTAGGAAACTCACAGATCCATAACAAGATATGCAAAGCAAAGCTCCCAAAGTCACAGACAAGAAGAGAATCTCAAATGCTGGAAAATACATAATTATGGTTCTATGATATAACCAGTGACTCTTTTAACAAAAACCTTACAGGCCAGAAGGAAATTGTGTGCTATAGTCGAGGTGCCAAGTGAAAAATAGCATCTATGTAAGAATAAGATAACCAGCAAAACAGTGCTACAAAAATGAAGAAAAAGGAAAGACCTCTAAAGATAACCAAATGTGGAAAAATTATATCAATGCTACATGTGCCCTACAAAAAATGCTGAGAAGAGTCCTCCTACTAAAACTATACGATGCTAAAAAACAAAACTATCATATAAAAATAGGTAGTTTTCTAGGAAAGATATAAAGATATGCAAATATTATAGAAAAATATCCTGTAGCTTTATCATAATACCAAAAAATGTTTTATTTAATTATTCTCTAAAATTTAAAGATAAAAGCTAAAAATAATAATGAGCATCTGTTAACAGATATATAACATAAATAGATATGTTTAGTGACATCAATAACTAAGTTGAGGACAGATGTAATAAGAAATAATTTGTGCATGAACCCGAATTTAAATTTCACCACTTCAAAATATATTGTTGAAATTTTAAGAGGTTTTTATATAATCCTGAAGGCACCCACAAAGAAAATGTCTGTATAGATACAAAAAAGGAAGTAAGAAAGAAGTGACAGCCTATCCATACAAAAATTAAAAAGGACACAAAGGAAGATAGAATGAGAAACAGACATACAAGAATCATTAAACAATAAAATAACAATAATCTTTTTCTTCAGAAAATAAATATTTTAAAAATAGATTTGCCAATCAATACACATACATTGAATAGAGGGATTATATAAAATTTTATATACCAAGATCCAACTTGCCTTTCTTCAAGAGTCACTTGAGATCTATACATTGTAAGTCAACAACTCTCTTATTTTATAAAATATATTTTATGTCAAAATTCACAAGAGAAAAAAGGTCATTAAACAATAATAAAGATATCATTTATTGAAAACGTATGACAAATATGTGCATACATATATTTATATGTTTGCATGTGTATGTGTATTTCTCACATTAGGTTTCCAAAAATACAAAGCAAAAATTGACCGAATGAAAGCAACAAATAGAGAGCAATATAATTATAATAAGATATTTTAATACTTCAATTTCTGCAACGAACAATAAAACAAAACAATATTAATAATGGAAAAGGGGTCCAGGTACGGTGGCTCACGCCTGTCATCCCAGCACTTTGAGAGGCCAAGGCAGGCGATCACGGGGTCAGGAGATGGAGACCATCCTGTCTAACACGATGAAACCCGGTCTCTACTGAAAATACAAAAAAATTAGCAGGGCATGTTGGCAGGTGCCTGTAATCCCAGGTATTCAGGAGGCTGAGGCAGGAGAATGGCATGAACCCAGGAGGCGGAGCTTGCAGTGAGACGAGATCGCACCACTGTACTCCAGCCTGGGTGAGAGTAAGACTCTGTCTCAAAAAAAAAAAAAAAAAAAATGGAAAAGAGAAACTGAAAGCAGTACAGATGGGAACAAGTGGCTCATGCTTGTAATTCCAGCACTTTGGGAGGCCAATGAAGACAGATTACCTGAGGTAAGGAGTTTGAGACCAGCCTGGCCAACATGGCAAATCCCCATCTCTACTAAAAATAGCCAGATGCGGTAGCAGGCGCCTGTAATCCCAGCTACTCAGGAGGCTAAGACAGGAGAATTGCTTGAACCAGGGAAGTGGGGTTTGCAATGAATCGAGATTGCGTCACTGCAATCTAGCCTCGGCGACAGAGCAAGACTCCATCTCAAAAAGAAAAAAATATACAAAGAAAGAAGTATAAAACAATATTATGCCTAACAACACCCCTTAACAATAGCAGGGTACAACCATTCTCAATAGCTCACATATATTCTCTTTGACAAACTGCCTGTTAGGCCATGATAAAAATAAAAACTTACTAAATCTTTAAAAATTGAAATTGATAGATTACTTTTTATGACCAAAATGGAATGAGAGTAGAAATCAACAAAAACAAAACTAAAAAATTTACAAATACATGAAAATTAAACAACACACTCTTCAGCATGATCAAAGGGTAAAATAATTAATATTCAGCGTGATCAAAGAGTAAAATAATTAATATTGTGAAGATGCCCATACTGCTCAGTGTAATCTACAGATTTAATGCAATCCCTTTCAAATATCTAATTTTATTTTAGAAGAAATAGAAAAAGCAACACCAAAATTATATGAAATTTTAAGAAACAATGAAACACCCAATAATCTTCAAAGAGAGGAACAACCTTGGAGGCATCACAACTCCCTGATTTCAAAACACATTGTATAGACTTAAAACAATTTGGTTTCGTTATAAAAAGTGAACTAGACCAAATAAACAGAATGTAGTATCATTATAAACTCTCACACATATAATCACAGGAAGAGTTATTTGCACATCCATAATTTTTTTTTTTTTTAGATGGAGACTCGCTCTGTTGCCCAGGCTGGAGTGCAGTGTCAAAATCCAGGCTCACTGCAACCTCCAGCTTCGAGGTTCATGCCATTCTCCTGCCTCAGCTTCCCAAGTAGCTGGGACTGTAGGTGCCTGCCACCATGCCCGGCTAATTTTTTGGTATTGTTAGTGGAGATGGGGTTTCACCGTGTTAGCCAGGATGGTCTCGATCTCCTGACTTTATGATCCACCCATCTTGGCCTCCCAAAGTGCTGTGATTACAGGTGTGAGCCACTGCTCCCGGCTGCACATCCATAATTTTTACAGCATTGTTATTGACAGGCAATAGGTGAAAGCAATGCAAATTTTTCTCCCCAGATTACTGGATAAATATAATTTGAAACATAAAAATAATGGAATATTACTCAGTATTTAAAAACAGGAAATACAGGTGGGGCACACTGGCTCACACTTGTAATCCCAGAACTTTGGGAGGCCGAGGTGGGTGAATCACCTGAGTTTGGGAGTTCGAGACCAGCCTTTCCAACATGGAAAAACCCTGTCTCTACTTACAAAAATTAGCCGGGCATGGTGGTGCATGCCTGTAATCCAAGCCTCCTCTCAGGAGGCTGAGGAAGGAGAATGGCTTGAACTTGGGAGGCGGATATTGTGGTGTGCTGAGATCGCTGCACTGCACTCCAGCCTGGGCAACAAGGGTGAAACTCCGTCTAAAAAAAAAGGAAATATTCTCACAACCATAATAAACTTTCATGAAATTATGCAAAATAACATAGGTCAGCCACAAAAAATACTGTATGAATCCACTTACATGAGATATTTAAAGCAGTTAGACTCAAAAACAGGAAAACAGAATTGTTCATAAAGGGCCAGAAAATGGGAGAAATGAGTAGTTGTTTAATGTGTATTCAGTTTTAGTTTTGCAAGACAAAAACATTCTAGAGATATATTGTATAATAATGTCCAAATAATTAATATAAACTACACACTTCTTTTAAATTAAGATTCTAAATTTTATGTTCTTGATAATTAAAAATAAACAGTAATAATACCTAAAAAAGGGACTAAATTGATAGTTTTTAAAATTACCTTCAAATCAAAAAAGTGTTTCTCCTACACAAAAATAAATTCCCAAATAGATACTAGAAGTAGGAGAGTTTTTATGACTACTCAGATAAAACCATCATTGATCACTCACAAACATACAAGTCATAAACAATACAGAAATAATATGTGTATACACAAACAAATAAATTATTATATTAGTTATAGACATATGACTGATTCGTATTTAACTTTGGCTCCACACTGTCTTAAAGTGTACAGAGTTGAATATTGTCATTCACAATTATCATACAAAATAAAAACTAAAAACACAATTAACTGATGTGAGGTGGCGTACTCCAAAATATGAAACAAAAAAGAAATAAAACTGGTTGGGCGTGGTGGCTCACGCCTGTAATCCCAGCACTTTGGGAGGCTGAGGGGGGCGGATCACGAGGTCAGGAGATCGAGACCATCCTGACTAACACGGTGAAACCCCGTCTCTACTAAAAAATACCAAAAATTAGCTGGGCATGGTGGCGGGCACCTGTAGTCCCAGCTACTCAGGAGGCTGAGGCAGGAAAATGGCGTGAACCTGGGAGGCAGAGCTTGCAGTGAGCGGAGATCGTGCCACTGCACTCCAGTCTGGGCGACAGAGCCAGACTCCATCTCAAAAAATATATATATAAAATAAAGTGAAATGAAATAAAATAAAATTGCAAAACAAAATGAAAACATGGAATGTTAAACTTACTGAACACCATTAACTAGATTACTACGTTTGGAAAAGAAATCTTAGAAGACAAATGTAGGGAAAAAGTAGTAGAGGGGTTATTTGAAGATAAAAGAGGATGAGAACTTTCCAAATTTTTATGTGATAAAAGAAAAACTAATACCAATCAATACTGTTTGCTTTGAAATTATTTGGAATTATTCTGGAATTAAAAATAAGGAAACAATAAAGAACTTACAAAATAAACAAAAGGTGAAGGTATTTATCACCACTGGCATGGTCCCACAAGAAATGCTACATGGTGGCCAGGCACCAGTGGCTCATGTCTGTAATCCCAGAGACTTGGGAGGCCAAGGCAGGCAGATTAGTTGAGGCTAAGAGTTCAAGATGAGCCTGAGTAACATAGTGAGATGCTGTTTATTTTTTTAATGCCCAAAAGAGTCCATATGTTGAAAAATATAATGATGCTGAACAGTATTAAAAAACTACATGAAACTATAAAGCTTTCTGTTAAATGTAAATATATAAACACATATACAATTGTTTACTACCATAATCATGAAGCAAAATTTCTGAAAATTCTGCTGTAGAATTTGAACAAAAAAATCTGCATAAATCTGTTAATAGACACACAATATAAAATAATATTTGTAATAATAAAAAACTACAGGATGTAAGCTTGGGTGCAATGGCTCATGCCTGTAATCCCAGCACTTTGGGAGGCCGAGATGGGTGGATCATGAAGTCAGGAGTTCAAGACCAGCTTGGCTAAGATGATGAAACCCCATCTCTACTAAAAATATGAAAAATTAGCCAGTCGTAGTGGTGGGTGCCTGTAATCTCAGCTACTCGGGAGGCAGAGGCAGAGCATTGCTTGAACCTGGGAGGCAGAGGTTGCAGTGAGCCGAGATCACACCACTGCACTCCAGCCTGGGTGACAGAGTGAGACTCCATCTCAAAATCAAAACAAAACAAACAAACAAAAAAACCACTACAGGATGTAAAGAGGTATAGTTTTTGTATTCAACTGAAGTTATGACATAGTAATATAGTTATAACTTTAAAATGTTTTACATAATCTCCAATTACCAAAATAATTACAAGTTTATAGAAAGTATGCAATACAAAATGAGAAAGGAAACAAAGCATAACACTACAAAATCAAAAAAGCAAAAATTAAGACAGTAAAATAGGAAATTATGGAAAACATCTCTACAAGAAACACAGAAAATAATAACAATCAAAATGGTAATAGTAACTTCATTTCTCTAAGGAATCATTTTAAATGTAAATTGATTAAACTAATAGTAAGAAATTAAATGGCTGAATGGAATAAGAACAAACAAAATTACACAATATGCAACAAATCACACAATATTCTTGTTTGAACTTGGTGTACTCTGTTAGGACATGTAACAAGCCTTATTAAGTTTAAGAAGACTAATCAGATGTGGTGGCTCATGCCTGTAGCCCCAGCACTTTGAGAGGCCAGGACTGGAAGATTGCTTGAGACCAGGATTTCAAGAGACTCACTTTAACTTTGAGTCAAATAGGTTGAAAGAAAGAGAATGAAAAAACATATTCCATGCAAAAGTATCCACAATTAAGTGAGGTGGTCATAATTATATTAAACAAAATATGCTGTAAATCAAAAACTAGCATGAGGTAAAGATTGTTACTATATAATGATAACATTGATCATTTACCAGGAATCTATAACTATGATATTTATTTAAAAGATCAGTGTTCCAAAATATATAAAGCTAATATTGACAGAAGTGAAGCAAAAAATACATAGCAACATAATAATTACAGACATTAAGACCCCACTTTAATAATGAGTGAAAGTTTAGATAAAACATCAATGAGAACAAAACCTGGATGACATTATAAATTGTATTAATTGATTTTGTATTGCAATAAGTACCTAAGACTGTGTAATTTATAAAGAAAAAAGATTTATTTTCTTCATAGTTATGCACAATGTACAATAAGTGTGGTGCCAGCTTCTGCATCTGGTGAGGGTCTAAGTAAGCTTACAATCATGATGAAGGCAAAGAGAAACCAGATATATTGCATGGGGAGAGAGAGAGCAAGCGTGAAAAGAAAGTGCCAGGTTCTTTAAGCACGCAGCTCTCATGTGAATTAACAGAGTAAGAACTCATTGATCACCAAGGGGATGGTGCAAAATCATTTACAAGAGATTTTCCCCCATGACCCAAACACATCACACAAGGATTCACGTCCTACATTGGGAATCCCATTTCAACATGAGATTTGAAGGCTACAAACATCCAAATCATATCATAGACCAACTACAAATTAAAAATATGTACAGGAATCTCCAGTAAAAGGAACAGATCACACAATATTCTTGCTTGAACTTGGTGCATTCTGTTGGGACACATAAAAAGTATTATTAAGTTTAAGAAGACTGGCCAGGTGTGGTGGCTCATGCCTGTAGCCCCCAGCACCTTGGGAGAAAAAACCACTCGAGACCAGGATTTCAAAACCAGCCTTGGCAATATAGTGAGAACCCGCATTTCTACAAAAAAATCAAAAAACTAGCCAGACGTGACAGCACACGTATGTAGTCCCAGCTACTTGGGATGCTGAGGTGGGAAGATTATTTGAGCCTCGGAGGTTGAGGCTGCAGTGAGCCAAGATTGTACCACTAGCACTCCAGCCTGAGTGGCTCAGTGAGAATCTGTCTGTCAATAACAACAAAAATAAATAAATAACTTTAAGATGACCAAAATTATACAGTTATGTTTTCTGACTAAAATAAAATGATACTAGACATCAAAATCAAGAGATAAACTGGCAAATTCAAAAATATATGGAAATAAAACACACTTTTTAATATATTCTTGCTCAAGGTCCAGATAATTTAATCAAAATGTGAAAACAACTCACAGTGGTGAAGAAATTCCAATGGTACATTGTTGACCAGAAATATTGTTTAAAAATTTTTAAATTGATTATGAGCTAAAACTAGCCAAACACCCATGAAAAAGAACAAAGAGGCATTATATTTCCTGATTTCAAAGTATATTAAAAAGCAACAATAAACAAAAGCAATGTGGTACTAACAGAGACAAATAAACAGATGATGGAACAAAATATCCCAGAAATGAACCCTTCTTTATATAATCAAATAATCTTCCACAAAGTTGCCATGACTACACAACAGAGAAAAGACAATCTCTTCAACAAATGATGTTGAAAACTGAGTATCTACACTGAAAAAAATAAAGTTGGATTATTTTCTTGCACATTTTAAATAAAATAATGAAACTAAAAAACATATAATTAATACAACTCTTAGAAGAAAAAAATAGGAAAAATACAGAACACTGGTTTTGAAACTTTTTTGTAGATATGACATCATACTTATGAAAAACATAAAAACCCCCAAAATTTAACTATGCTAAACTTAAATATTTTAAGATTTTCTCTGCACAGCAAAGAAAAAATTTAGTAGAATGACAATGTCATCAAAGGAATGGGTGAAAATATTCACAAATTTCATGTGATGAGTTAATATTCAGAATGATAAACAACTAAAACTGAACAACAAACATTGAATAAATTGATCCAGAAATGGACAAAGAATTGAACTGATACTTAATCAAATATATATATAAGTAGAAAAAAGCACTTAAAATAATGCAAAAAAAGTACCAATTGTAGAGAAATACAAAACAAAATTACAATCCAAAACAAAACCACCTCATACCCATTAGAATGGCCATGATAAATTTTTAAAATGTCAAATCTGTTGAGGATGTAAAGAAATTAAAACTCATGTGAATTGTTGGTGGGGAAAAAAGGATGCAACCATCATATTATGAATGTTTCTTAAAAATTAAATTACATAATTCAGGAATTCCACTTATACACCTATATTCAAATATAAATCATATTATTTGACTGGAATATAAAATATATTTTTATATATTAATACATTTATAAATGGAATCCAAGAATTCCACTTACAAATCTATATTCAAACATAAATATAAATGTATATTCCAAATATAAATCTATATTCAAACAAAGAATGTGGAAGTTATATTTGAATATATATTTGGAAGTTATATATTTAACCAGTTAATATATATTTAACCAGTTAATATATATTTAACCAGTTAATATATATTTAACCGGTTAAATATATAACCTGGAAGTTATATACTTAATATATATAACATTTACATATTAAATATATAAATATTGGTATAATATATTTATTATACCAATATATTATATATAAATATATTATACCAATATTTACAAAACCCAAAAGGTAGAAGTAACCCAGATATCCCTTAACGGATAAACAAATTAAAAATGTAACATATACATACAGTGGAATATTATTGAGCCTTAAAATAGTAAACCTTGTCACATTCTTACATAAACGTTGAGAATATTATGTCAACTGAAATAAGATAGTAATAAAGTGACAGATACTATATGATTCCATGATATGAGTCATCGTAAGTAGTCAAATAGAAACAGAACGGAGAATGGTGTTACTCAGGGTCTAAAGAGAGGGTAAAATGGGCAGTTGTTACTTAATGGGTATTAAGTTTTAATTTTAGAAGACGTAAAAGTTCTACAGGTCTTTACATAACAATGTAAATACTCTTAACGACTAAAATGTACGCCTTTTTTGAGGTAGGTTCTCACTCTGTCCTGCAGGCTGAAATGAAGTCACATAATCTTAGCTCACTGCAGCCTCAACCCTGCATGCACAAGTGAGTCTCCTGCCACGGCCTCACAAGGAGCTAGGACCACAAGTGGACAACACAACACCTGGCTAATTTTAAAATTTTTGTGGGGATGGGCTCTCTATATGCTGCCCAGGCAGGTCTTAAGTTCCTGGGCTTAAGCAATGCTTCTGCCTCAGTTTCCCAAAGTGCTGGCATTATAGGCATGAGGCTCCACCACACTCAGCACTGAAATATAGACTTAAAAAGCTTTAAAATGGTAAATTTTATATTATGCGTTTTCTCGATTTTTTTTGAAAACAACTAAAAGTGATATACGTCTTTCTATAAATCACAAAATATATAAATATATAAATATAAATCACCTTCAAATCACAAAAGTGTTTCTTTCACACGAAGGAAATATATATATTTATCACTAAACACCTGGTGAATATACAACCATTTCTATGACTACTCACCTTCACATAGTAAGACAGCTATTGAAAATCAACCAAGAAGGCTGTTCGTGGTGGCTCACTCCTGTAATCCCAGAACGTTGGGAAGCCGAGGCAGGTGGATCACTTGAGGTCAGGAGGTAGAGATCAGCCTGGCCAATATGGTGAAAACCCGTCTCTACTAAAAATACAAAAAAATTAGCCGGGCATGGTGGCAGGCACCTATAATCCCAGCTACTCGGGAGGCCGAAGCAGGAGAATTGCTTGAACCTGGGAGGTTGCAGTGAGCAAAGATTGTGCCTCTGCACTCCAGCTGTGCCTCTACTGTGGCCTGCAGACCTTGGTCTCTACTGCGGCCCCTGAAGGAGTTCAGTGACTCAGTCTCAGCTGTCTTTGCCACAGTTCACAGCAATTCCTGCCAACACAGGAACCCACACAGTGATGTGGAAAAAAAACTTCCAAATACTCAGTGGTAGCCACATTTACCACATCCCGATATAAGGTCCACCATATACACACCCAACTGCAGAAATCTGTCCTAGTTTCTGCCCTATAAGTAAAACTCCTGAAGGAAATCCAGCCCACCCAGACATTAGATGGGAGTCACAACAACCAAAGCCCCTGGTAAAAAGCCACTTGAAGGTGGAATCCACTGCATACCCAGCAGCCTTGTGACACAGTTACACACTCTTCCCTACTACAAGTTCATAGGGCATCCCATTACCCTGGGGACCCAACAAAAGAAGATCTGTACCTCCTGAAACTAGTTTATAAAAAGTTAAAGAGCTGTTTTCTTCTTCAAATTTATAGACACCAGGGTAAGGCTACATAGTTCCATTTTCAATGTTTCTATTTTAACATAGCAGTGAAGTACTTTGCAGAAGAATTAGTCAAGAAAATGCCCCTAAAAATGACATTCAAATTGAGGGAAAAAAATTAAAATATTGCTGTTTGTAGGTGACATGATCTTGTATATAGAAAACCATAAACAGTACATCAAAAACTAACAAATGCCCTCAGAAAATTAGAAATCTATAACATTAATATATAATTACCAGATATGATTCCATATGCTAACAACAAACCATCTGATAAAAAAGGAAGAAAACAATCTCATTTCCAATAGAATTAAAATAATAAATTTCTGAAAAATAAATTTAACAAAGAAGGCAAAAGATCTTTACACTGAAACATATATTGATGAAAGAAATGGAAGAAGTCACAAATAAATGCAAAAATATATCATGCTTATGAACTGGAAGAATAAATATTATAAAGTGCCATATGATTCAAAGTGATCTACATTTCAATGAACTCTCTATTAAAAATCCAGTGACATTTTTCACGGTTATGGAAATTACAATTCTAAAATTTACATGAAATTACAATAGGCTTTGAAAAACCAAAGCAATCTAGAGGAAAAGGGACAAAGCAACCAAATTTCATACTTTATGATTTCAAACTATATTTTAAGATTGTAGTAAAAAAACAAGATGATACATGCAAAATATGGACACAAGAAACCTATGGAACAGACTAGAGCCCAGAAATAAACCCAGGCTTATAAAGTTTACTAATTTTTGACAAGTGCACCAAAAATACACAATGAACAAAGTATAGTCTTTTTAATATTTGTTCTGAAAAAAGAACCAGGCAAAAGAATAAAATTAGCTTATTTTTCTTACACCATGCTAAAAGTTAAATTACAGACTTAAATATGAATCCTTAAAAAACCTGAAAAAAAATACATGGAAAACCCTCATGATATGGTCTTAACAATAATTTGTTAGACATAATACCAAAAGTACAGCAACAAAAGCAAATATAAACAAGCTGGGCTGCATCAAACTAAAAACCTTCTGCACAGAAAAGGGAACAATAAAATAAAAAAAATTGTAGAATGGGAAAAATTATTTGCAAACCATACATCTGATAAAAGATTGATATACAAAATATATAAGAAATGCAAGCAGATTAAAAGCAAAAACAACAGTAACCCAGTTCAAAATAGGCAAAAAACTAAACTGATATTTGTCCAATGAAGACATACAAATGACCAACAGATAAGCCATAAAGTACTCAATATCACCAAATATCAGGCAACTGCAAATCAAAACCAAGATGAGTATCATTTAAAACATGTTAGAATGGATAATGTAAAAAGAAGAAACATAACAAGTGTTGACAGCACTTTGAAGAAAAAAAATTCTGTACATTTTTGGAGAGTTATAAATTGATGGAGTCATTATAAAAACCAATAGAGGTTATTTGAAATACAGAACTACTACACAATCTAGCAATCCCACTTCTGTGTATATAACAAAAGGAAATGAAATAAGTAACTTGAAGACATATCTGTACCACCATATTTGTTGCAGCATTATTCACAATTGCCAAGATATAAAAAACCTAAATGTTTGTGGATGCTGAATAAAGAAAAGCTGGCATAAATAAACAATAGAATATTATTTAGCCTGAAAAATAACAAAATCTTGCCATTTCAACAACGTGGGTAGAACTGGAATACATTATGCCAAGGGAAATAAGCCAGACACAGCAAGAGAAATACTACACCTTCTCACTTATATGGGGAATCTAAGAAAGCTGAACTCACAGAAGCAGAGACTGCAATGGAAGTTGTCAGGGACTAGATATGGGAGAAAATGAAAAGATATTGAAAAGACACAAATTTTCTGTTATGAGTAAGTTTTTTGAATGTAACATATAGCTTCATGATACAGTTAACACTAATTTTTTGTATGCTTAAAATTTGGTGTCAGCAGATCTTAGATGTTTTCATTACAATAAAGGTACCTATGTGAGGAAAGGTGATAGAAATGTTCATAAACAAGTTGTGCTAATCATTTACAATCTACACATGCAGTAAGTCATTACATTGTACACCATAAATATATAATTATAAAATTTTTATTTGTAAAAAAATCCACAATACACACCTACATATATATACACACATATAAATTACAGTTCTGGTAAACTTTATCCTAAACAAGATAAAATTATAAAATAGTAATTTAAAAAACAAGGGAAGAAGTGGGAGCTTAACATATGCTCAGTAATGTTCTAAGTTCCCTGACATAGTGAATTGAAGAAATGTAGGAAATATATATGTTATATTACAGTTGAGAAATTAAGACAGAATTGAAATTACCAACCTCAGTTAGTACTAAAAGAATAAAAATTTCAATTCAAATAACATTAGATATTCTTAAAGAGATCCTTAATATTCTGATTAAATTACCGAGTATGAATTTCTGTAGAAACTCATTTGAAACCTCCATAAAATAAGAAACTATAAAGCAGAAAACATACAACATATGTTTGCTGTATTTCTGGGATTTCTGAACCAAATCTCAATATCACTACTTTTACATATTTCAGACACAATGCAGAAAGAGAACTTAAAAATTGTTAAACACAGGGTTTCTAAAAAGTATACAGCTATTTGTATATCCCCAAAAGCAATAAAAGTAGTCAGATTGTGCACTCCTTTATAAGCCATAAAGAGAATTTTGGCTCTCACTGCAAATCTGAAGAAAAATTATGGAAGAAAATGTAGAGTCATTAGAGAGCATGGGACAGAGGATGCCCCAATGTGAGAACAAGTGAAAAAACCCAGGCTTTTCAGAAACGATTTCCACTGGAGCACAGCTTCCCACATCACATGTAAAAGTCCGGGTTCCTCTCGGTCTTTGGATGTCTCATCTATGTCATCCTCTTCTTCATTCGCTTTCACCTACCTGGGTGCTTCATACTCCATGGCTTTTTCCTTTGCTCCAGACAGGTGACCAGGTCTGGCTTAGAGAAGACAATACCTGTTTTATTTTAAAAAGCAGCATGAGCATGAATTTTCCTGGGATTCTCCATTTACCAACCTAATACTGTGCTAAGCAGAGAAAAGAGGACATAATAGAGGATTCTAGAAAATTAATTCCAAAATACTTTTTACTGACAGAACCTTTAGCATATTCAGAAAGTACATTAAATATCTGGGTCCTCTGTTTCACTCCCCAGTATTACTGAATCAAAAACTGGTGGTGGCAATTGAATTTTAAGTTGTGGACAACATTATTTTATGCCACTAAATTTCTGAAATTACCACTTATCTAGAGTGAATATTATAGATAAGCTCAGGAAAGGGGAAAATTCAGGTCAAAATGAAACAACTTGAAGAATTTATTTTCCACACCAAAAAATCCTCAAGATTGTCTTGAAAACAGGGATCTGAAATTCACTCATGCAAAGCAGAAATTACCAAAACACATCCTACAAAGGAAGAAAATGAAACCTTTAGGGTAAATTAGGAATTCTATATTGAAGTTATCCTCAACGAAGAAGACCGGGTTTCTGTAGTTCTCTAACATCACATCCTTATACAAATTCTGCTGAGCAGCATCCAGGTATTGACAGTCCTCCAGACAGAATTGTATGGCTACATCCCTGAATGTCAACAGTCCCTGAAAACACACACACACACTTCAAGTGGCCATGGACAGAATTCTTAAATTGACTCAAGATAAAATGAGTGAAGAGAACTGATTCTGACTTATACGACTGAAATTGTCCTATAAAATAACTCACAACAAAATATATTCTGTTGTATTCTCTATCTCTGAGAAAAGAGAGCATAAGATTCACAATACCAGTGTAGTGTATTGATGATATTTTTTGAATGATAAAGTACAAAATTAACAACAGGAACATAGACATGTACATTTTTGAGTGCTTGATTTAATCATACAGTATAAGTTCTGTATATTTCTCAGATAAAAAATTCAGGCTTAGTTATAAAGTACCTCTCAAATTTTAATGTGTACAACAATAAACTGGAGATCTTTTTATGCAGATTTTGTTTCAAGAAACCTGAGGTAAAACCTGAGTTTCTGAATTTCTAACAAGCTCCCAAGTGACACCAATCTTTCTGGTCCAAGATAAATATTTTGTCAAACATTCATTATGTGGCAGAGCCTGGGTTTTTATGACCAGTAAACAAAGATGAGAGACTTCACTTTTTAAAGAAAGACATACGCAAAGAGAATCTAAGAAGAAAAGAGAACTTCCAGATTACATGTGATACTTTATGCACATCAGCTGGTAAATGTCCCCAAGGTACTCAATAATAAAGAGAAAAATAACTCTAGAGTGGAAAAAAATTCTCAGAGAACTATTTAACTAAGCGAATCAAATTAACACCAATTATAACAGAACAAATTTTTCATCATGCGCTGATGCTCACAGAAGGACACAATATCACTGCTGTGATACTGGCCCCTGCGAAAGAAGCAAATTGTAATTCAAATCTAATCATAAAGAAACAAGTTTTATGCAAAATGCAAACTACAGTAATCACTCACATTGTGTAATCTCTAACAGAGTATTTACGCAGACTTTCTTTAGCATTCTAGAAAGCGAGTATCTCCTAATTATTTTTTTCAAAACTTTCTGAATTATTCTGGGTAATAAATGCCATCCCATTCAAATGTGCATATTTTAATCCTGTTCCGCATGGAGTTGATGGAGCACACAGACAGAGCTTCAACATTACATATTCCCCTTTTGCATGAATATCTAAGAACCCCACCTCTTCCCCAGTAGGAATCTTGGGTATCCATACCTTTCCATGTGCACCAGCACCAGCAATGAAGGGTATTTTTCTTTTTTTTTTTTTCCTTTGGAGATGGAGTCTCTCTCTGTTGCCCAGTCTGGAGTGCAGTGGCATGATGTAGGCTCACTGCAACCTCTGCAACCTCCACCTCCTGGGTTCAAGTGATTCTCTTGCCTCAGCCTCCCAAGTAGCTGGGATTACAGGCACCTGCCACCACGCCCAGCTATTTTTTGTATTTTTAGTAGTGACAGGGTTTCACCATGTTGGCCAGGCTGGTCTCAAACTACTGACCTCAGGTCATCAGCCCACATCGGCCTCTCAAAGTGCTGGGATAATAGGCATGAGCCACCTTGCCCAGCCAAAGGGAATATTTTTAATATTACGAGTCTTAAATTAATGGTGAGAATTCTGCATGACAGAGAAGAAGCCAAGATAAAGAGAATGTCAAGAAGGCTCTAGTATGTAGAGAAAAAGTTTTTTTCAGAGTTCCTTGACTATCATGAGAAGAAAAAATGTTTAAACAAACTTATAGGGAGAAACAGCATAAAATCAAGAAGTACAGGTTTGTAAGTTCTAAACATATGGCATTCCAGGAGGCAGAGTGAACACTGCTCCCTATCTGAAGACACAGTCACCTGTGTCTTCACAGAAAAAAAAGCCATTTTTCTCTTCATCATCCTTCTCTAGAATTTCTTCTCAGGTGATATTCTCTGGACAAGTCACACCTGCATCTTGGGAATATGCCTTTAAAGGAATCAGCACAATCCCTTCACCTGCTACCACCACAAACACAGGTAGAAAGATCCAGGCATGCAGAAAATGTCCACCCATTTATGTTGTTTATAACAGGTGAGATTCAAGTACAGTGAGCTCCTCCATGAAGATCAAAATTTATCTTTCTCTTTTCCTGCCACAGATGCCACAATTTCTGCTACAGCAATGGGAATATGGGCCACACAAACTTGTCCCTACCAAATCCAACCATAGCAGGCTCTGTGATCTCCCTTTGGAGTAAAGTTTGAACTCAACTCTCATGAATGTATTTTGAATTCCTCATGTTTGACCCTGGCCTCAACCTGGAGGCACTTAATTATATCAACAAGGATGCTTCCACACAGAACAATATACAGAGCCTGCGGGAAGGGCACAAGTGAAAAGATTTCTGCAACCTGGCCATGGAATCTTAATTAGAAGCCTGGGCCAAGAATCACTTAGCTAAGCATTGCCTCTCAAGCTTCAATGTGCATATAAATCATTTGGTAACCCTGGCCCCACACTATGTAATGTGATTCTGCAGGTTTTAAAAGGGTCCATGAAAGTACATTTTAAATACATCTGTCAATGCTGATGTAGCTTCCCCAGACCCATCATTAGTAGCATTTAGCTAGAAAAATCAGGCATGGAACAGACTCTTACACTCATCACTCATCACAACACAAATACTTCTGATCAAATAAACAATCAATCTCTATCCTGAAAGACCACATTCTTTGCTAGCTTTTTAAAGTTTACAGAGACAGGAGAAGGCAGCAATGTCTGAGTAAGTCTGCACTGAAAAACAACATGTACACATATACTCATGCAATGCTTATTAAGTAGGTAATATGTGCTCAGGAGTGTGTTACAGAGCACTGTGCTGGGAACATCACATTATGTGATTTAATCTTCGTAACAACTTGAGAGTTGGGTACTAAGTGTTCAATAATTCTCAGACTTTAGATAAAGGGGCCAGCATTGTTTTCTTCTCCTCTTTATCTCTTGTTGATTTTTTTTGGGGGGGGCACAGAGTGTCAACCTTGTTGCCCAGGCTGGAAGTGCAATGGTACGATCAATCTTTGCTCACTGCAACCTCCACCTCCTGGATTCAAGCAATTCTTCTGCCTCAGCCTCCCGAGTAGTTGGGATTACAGGCATGCACCATGACACTGAGCTAAGTCTGTATTTTTAGTAGAGACAGGGTTTCTCCATGTTGGTCAGGCTGGTCTTGAACTCCCAACCTCAAGTGATCCGCACACCTCGGCCTCCTAAAGTGCTAGGATTACAGGCATGAGCCACAGAGCCCGGCCTCTCACTGGTTTTTTTTTTTAAATGAATAGCATGAGAGATAAATATAGACAGATGGGAGGGATACAGAAAGGAAAGGGTTAAGTGTAGTTCAGAGGGATTTTTTATTGTGTTTCTATTTACTTTCTTGTGACTTGTGGAGTAACTACTGGGATGGAATGTCTCTACAAGTACTGGTTTTAATTAAAAAGAGATAAGACCTCAAAATATATAGGTTATTGCTGTAATTCATCTTCTTTTGGGTTTCAGAATATTGTGAGCATAAGCTCTAGAGAGGCAGCAGGAGCTACCTCCCAAATCTCTGGTCTCCTCTAATGAGTTCTGTGAGGAGAGACTCCAGGGTGGGACCAGATCTGAATGAGGCTCAGAAAAGGGTGAATCTGGACAGAGCTGGGGTGGAGAAGTGGTCCTATGTTGAATTATGATCTCTATGGTGCTGGAGTACTTCTTGTTCTGTCTTTCCTAAGCCTGTCCAAGAGAAACTTAAGAGTTTGTATAATTTTAATCCATTTAGCCACTACTCTATTTTATAACATATAATAACAAACAATTTAAGCAAAATTTTTAGGGCTTTCTAGGATAATTTTATTAGAAAATATGTATTCTTAGCAAGGTAAAAGCAATAGAAATACAAATAACTCTCCTGTTTGATAATAGCTCTTCAGGTGGTGACATCAGAAGTCACAACAACATAAGAGCCATCACCCAAGTCCCCTTAATACCCCCACTTTATTGTACTGACTATATGATGCTTAATTAGACCATTTATCCAGTTGCTCTAGACTGAAAGTTTTTGAATGACAAGGACCATGACTGCTTCATCTATTTTTCTAAAGGCCATATGAAATGGAGGCAATTTGTTTATCAGTCTGAGTCTCCAGAACTCCTGAATTTTTTGCCAAGGAAACTGGAGAAACTCTCATCCGGGTACCAACCAAGGAGATTCTTTCTACAAAAGAAGGAACAGACATGAATGACTCACTTCCCTTCCTCTAACATGGAAGCAGAATTAGACACTCCTGCCAGCCTGACCCAAGTCTGTACAGGATATCCTGAAATGTTTTAAAGATTCCCGGATGATTGTGAGAGGATTCCTAGTGACCATGGACTGATGACCCTATGATGATCCAGGCAGGAAAGACTCAAGCTGACTCTAAATAGAAAATGGAACTGCCCTGGTATAGCTCCAGAACCTGGATCTACATGTGATATCACCTGTTCTGATTAGCTAGCTCTTAGGTAAGAGAAAGGACAAGGATACTCTACTCCAGTATCACATTTTACAAATAGGTAAACTTATGTCATTGCTCTGGGTATTTTGTGGCTTTGATCTCTCCCTGCTCACATGTATGTTTACACTTACAGATTGTGCAACCAGATTCTACTT
The DNA here is from genome assembly GCF_000001405.40 of Homo sapiens. NCBI lineage: Eukaryota > Metazoa > Chordata > Mammalia > Primates > Hominidae > Homo > Homo sapiens. The sequence goes on from NC_000014.9 coordinate 18,416,860, forward strand.
ACACCAGCAGCCTCTCACATAACCATAGCAGGTCACTGGAAAATATCTGGAAAGCTCAAAGGGATACACTCTGAAAGGAGGGCTTTAAGATTTCTATGCTGACATCTCACAGATCAGAAAATGTCTCCTATGGGTTTTCTGTACATTCTCAATCCAAAATCTGGCTCTCTCCTGTGAATCCCAGGGAGAGCTCAGCTCTTATGTGCAGATTACAGGTAAGATCATCCTGACTCTTCATTCTTTGGTGTTACAGCAAGAAGAGTAAAAACAAAAAAACTTCCATCATAAAGTCTGCTCTAGCACATGATATGTCAGCCTAAAAAGAAAAGGCTAAGGCAACACTAGTTTAAGTAGAGAGTTTATTTGGGCCAAGCCTCAGGATTGAAATCTGGGAGCATAGATTCAAGTTGCCTTGAATCTACACTTTAATTAGCAGCAGTTACAAGTGGATTTACAAAGGCAAAAAAGAGGGACAGGGAGTGGACTGAAACAAAGTTGTTTGTCAGAAATTCTTCTTGATCTACAGAAATAGCATTGATGACTAATTGGCCATATATTTTTAAGCTATAAGGTATTGCTTATAACATCCAGTGTGGCATTATTAGGTTAATTTATATCTACTTGTAGCAATAGCAGTTTCAAGAGGTAAAAAAGTAGCTCAAAGGAGGCAGTAGAACATAATTATGTTCTCATTTTTATGTCTCTCCGGGCCTGATAAAACTAAAAGGACTTGCACTCCGCAGATCAAAGTTATTCTTTTTCCTCTAATCTCAAGACCGAGATTCAGAATTTGGTACTGGAGATTTAGGTCCTGGATGGGTGGAGAAATGGCAGGTGTTAACTACACATTTATGGGAATTTTGGGAGGAGGAGAAAGAGGAACGTTGAGATACTCACGTTTACTCAATGCGCACATGTCACTCTAATTGTTCTTCTAGGCCTAATAGTCTCCAACTCAGTTTCACGTCTGAAGACACTATGGTCACTGAAAGAGGTGAAATGGCTGATTACTGTCCTGTGAATTTTGTCAACCACTTGTAGAAAGGCTTCACCTCTCTACAAGTGGTTGTAGAGGACTATAGATGTGAAACAGGCAGAGACACAATTCTGCCTGCATACTCTGGGGTCAGTGTGCACTTTGAAGCATAACTGACTGGGTTGACTGGAAGAATGAGAGGGAAAGCCTTCTCTAAGGTGAAGCTTGGTGGGCACCTTATAAGTATATACAATGTCTGGTAATTGTGGACAGTGTTTGAGAAATATAATTAAAAGGAAAATTGTCTCCAGTCCTAGAAAAAACCCACAATAACAGAACAGAAAGAAAAGTGTTTTATTGCACAATAAAACCAGAATGTGATGTGACGTGAATCACAGACAATCTGCTCAAGAGATTGCAAAGACAGAAAGGTCTCTATAATTAGTCCTCAAGAAGAAGATTTGACAGCACCATTTGTCATACACAGTTTATCCTAAATTCATCTGGTAATAGGGGAGGCCATTTGTGTATGTTAATTGGTTATATTGAAAGGAAAAATAAACTTCTGACATCTTCATGATAGGAGGTAGTTTTCCAACTTACAGCCAGGTGCCTGCTGAAAGTAGGCTCTGGTTCTTTTACAGACACTGTGAGATAGAATACTATTATTTTGGCTATTTACATTTCAAAGCAAAGGGTCCCTAATCCCTAGGCCACGGGCTGCAGCAATCCTGCTCGCCCTGTCCTGGTGGCCTATGTCCCATCTCTTCCCCTACCATCTACCACCGAGGCGCAGCTCACAGCACACAGCTGGCAGCCCACATTCCACATGGACTCCAACTGCCACAGCTGCACTCCAGTGTCACATTATGGAGCAGCGTCCCTGAACTGCAGGAGGAGAACCTGCAGGACTCCTGGGTAGGATTGCACTTTTGCAATAATGGAAATGGGAGCAATGTTTCAGCCTAAGTTTCTATTTATAATGGTGACAAAAAAATACTGCTGGATTCCCATTATGGGTCTCGATAGAGTGCCAAAGAGTTCTCATTGTGACAGCCCAACTCACTCAGAAACACCATGAGACACTTTTGGGTGTCCCTTCTGAAGACAGACACTGAAAGCATTGAAGAGAAAAACAGCTCTCAGTCTGAATAAAATTGTATTACGAGGTTAAAAGCATCTGAAAGAGAAATTCAGACTACATATAATATTAGCCAAGTCGACCAGAAAATACTCCCCTGAGAAAGTTTCTCTCTAAATACCCAAAATGCACAGCTGCTCTCAACACAAGAAACACAGTGTTATGAAGAAAGGGCGCATATTCTCAGCAGAATTTCTTAAGATTTCTCTTCCATCTCTTCTGCTCTCTCATCTTCTGGCCATTGGATTGAGGATCTACACTGGAACACATCAGGCAACCTTCGCTAGCACTTTTTGATAAAGAATTGGAATTTGACTCTGTTTACATAGTAGAACTATATCTGAGATTGCAACTTATCTAACTGAAGACTATTATGATTCATGATTTTTGGGTAGTCACATCACTTGCATTGATTTGTTCTGTAAGAGTGGCATTCCTAATTTAGTAAAACATAAGAATAGACTGTAAGGCAGGACGTGGTGGCTCATGCCTGTAATCCCAGCACTTTGGGAGTCTGAGGCAAGCCGATCACCTGGGTCGGGAGTTGAAGACCAGCCTGGCCAACACGGTGAAACCCCATCTCTACTAAAATACAAAAACTAGCCAGGCGTGGTGGCAGACACCTGTAATCCCAGCTACTTAGGGGTTGAGGCAAGAGAATCGCTTGAATCCAGGAGGCAGAGGTTGCAGTGAGCTGAGATCACGCCACTGCACTCCAGCCTAGGTGACAGAGTCAGACTCCATCTCAAAAACAAAAACAAAAAAGATAGAATGTAAAATTTTGCTAACATATTACTAAATCTTTTTTTTTTTTTTTTTTTGGTTTTTGAGACAGAGTTTTGCTCTTGTTGCCCAGGCTGGAGTCCAATGGAGCAATCTCAGCTCACTGCAGCCTCCACCTCCAGGGTACAAGTGATTCTCCTGGCTTAGTCTCCTGAGTAGCTAGGATTACAGTCATGCACCACCAACCCTGGCTAATTGTGTGTGTGTGTGTTTTTTTAGTAGAGACGGGGTTTCTCCTTGTTGGTCAGGGTGGTCTCAAACTCCTGACCTCAGGTAATCCGCCCGCCTCTGCCTCCCAAAGTGCTGTGAGCCACCACGCCCAGCTGACATATTATTATATCTATGGGATGAATTAATAAGCATGTCAGATTAATATCTACTGTAACAATTAGATAGTAAATTTTCTTTGGATATTAGACATAAATATCTAAGTATAAGTAATTTCAATATACTAGTAATGACAAATTTTTAAAATTATCTGTAACCTTAACTCAGTTATAATACTTTATATTTCAAAAGAATAAATAACGATATTAAAATTACTATTTAAGGGATTTATTCATAGTAAATATTGTGGCCTTATATTCACATAATTGTAGAAAATACTGTTTAATTTACATGGATGAATGTTGTCTACTAAAGACTACATAAAACTATGTTAATTCTTTTTCGAATTATTTTATTTTATTTTTTAAATTTATTATTATTATACTTTAAGTTTAAGGGTACATGTGCACAATATGCAGCTTTGTTACATATGTATACATGTGCCATGTTGGTGTGCTGCACTCATTAACTCGTCATTTAGCATTAGGTATATCTCCTAATGTTATCCCTCCCCCATCCCCACACACTGACCTCACATAGGATTCCAGAACACTGCTGGGTTCAGAGTATTTGTCCCTCACATAGGATTCCAGAACTGTTTTGTAATCCATTGTAATGGATAAAAATTCAGACCCTCGTAGCAGTGTTCTGGAATCCTATGTGAGGGACAAAAACTGAGAATCCAGCAGCATCCTGGAATCCTGTGTGAGTGACAAACATTCAGAGATTTGTAGCAGTGTTCTGGAATTCTATGTGAGGGACAAACACTCAGAACCCAGCAGCAGTGTTCTGGAATCCAATGTGAGGGACAAACATTCAGAACCCAGCAGCAGTTTTCCGGAATCCCATGAGAGGGACAAATATTCAGAACCCAGCAGCAGTGTTCTGGAATAGTATATTAGGGACAAACACTCAGAACCCAGGAGCAGTGTTCTAGAATCCTTTGTGAGGGACAAACATTCACACTCTTGAAGCAGTGTTCTGGAATCCTAAGTGAGGGACAAACACTCAGAACCCAGCAGCAGGGTCCTGGAATCCTTTGTGATGCGCAAACATTCAAACCCTTGTAGCAGTGCACTGGAATCCTATGTGAGGGACAACCACTCAGAACCCAGGAGCAGTGTTCTGGAATCCTCTGTGAGGGAGAAACACTCAGAACAGAGCAGCAGTGTTCTGGAACCTTATGTGAGGGACAAACATTGAGAACCCAGCAGCAGTGTGATGGAATCTTATGTGATAGACAAACACTCAGAACCCATCCACTATCTTCTGGAATCCTATGTGAGGGACAAACTTTCAGACACTCATAGAAGTGTTCTGAAATCCTATGTGAGGGACAAACACTAAGCAACCAAGAGTAGTGCTCTGAAATCCTTTGTAAAGGACAAACAAACAGAACCCAGTAGCAGGGTTCCGGACTCCTTTCTGAAGGAAAAACATTCAGACCCTTGTAGCAGTGTTCTGGAATCCTATTTAAGGGACAGACACTCAGAACCCAGCAGCAGTGTTCTGGAATCCTATGTGAGGGACAAACACTCAGAACCTGGCAGCAGTGCTTTGGAATCCTGTGCGATCGCCAAAGATCCAGAACTTCATAGAAGTGTTCTGGAATCCTATGTGAGGGACAAACACTCAGAAACCAGCAGCAGTGCTCTGGAATCTTATTTGAGGGACAAACATACAGAAGCCAGCAGCAGTGTTTTGGAATCCTATGTGAGGGACAAACATTCAGAAACTCCTAGCTGTGTTCTGGAATCATCTGTGAGTGGCAAACACTCAGAACCCAGCAGCAGTTTTCTGGATTCCTATATGAGTGACAAACACTCAGAAGTCAGCATCAGTGCTCTAGAATACTTTGTAGGGGACAAACATTGAGACACATGAAGCAGTGTTCTGGAATCCTATGTGAGGGACAAACACTCAGAACCCAGCAGCAGTGTTCTGGAATCCTTTGTGATGGACAAACATTCAGACCCTCGTAGCAATGTTCTGGAATCCTATGTGAGAGACAAACACTCAAAACTAAGCAGCAGTGTTCTGGAATACTATGAGAGGAGCAAACACTCAGAATGTGGCAGCAGTGTTCGGGAATCCCATGTGAGGGACAAACAAGCAGAACCCGGAAGCTGTGTTCTGGATTTGTATGTGACGGAAAAACACTCAGAACCCAGCCACTGTGTTCTGGAATCCTATCTGAGTGACAAATATTCAGACACCCATAGAAGTGTTCTGGAATCCTATGTGAGGGACAAACACCCAGAAAGCAGCAGTGGTGCTTTGGAATCCTTTGTGAGGGAAAACCATTCAGACCCACGTAGCAGTGTTCTGTAATGCTATGTGAGGGACAAACCCTCTGAACCCAGCAGCAGTGTTCAGGAATCCCATGTGAGGGACAAACACTCAGAACCCAGCAGCAGTGTTCTAGAATCCTTTTTAAGTGACAAACATTCAGAACTTCGTAGAAGTGTTCCAGAATACTACGTGAGGGACAAACACTCAGAACCCAGCCACTGTGTTCTGAAATCCTATCTGAGGGTCAAACATTCAGAAACCCATAGAAGTGTTCTGGAATCCTATGTGAGGGACAGACACTCAGAAACTAGCAGCAGTGCTCTGGAATCCTTTGTGAGGGACAAACAAGAAGAACGAAGCAGCAGTGTTCTGGAGTCCTATGTTAGGGACAAACATTGAGAAACCATCAGCAGTATTCTGGAATCCTTTGTGAGGAACAAACATTCAGAACTTCGTAGAAGTGTTCTGAAATCCTATGTGTGGGACAAACACTTAGAAACCAGCAGTGGCGTTCTGGAATCCTTTGTGAGGGACAAACAAACAGAATCCAGCAGCAGTGATCTGGAATCTTTTGTGACGGAAAAACATTCTGACCCTCGTAGCAGTGTTCTGGAATCCTGTGTGTGGAATAAACACTCTGAACCCAGCAGCAGTGTTCTGGAATCCTATGTGAGAGACAAACACTCAGAACCCAGCAGCAGTGTTCTAGAATCCTGTGTGAGCAACAAAGATGCAGAACTTCGTAGCAGTGTTCTGGAGTCCCATGTGAGGGACAAACAATCAGAACCCAGCATCAGTGTTCTGGAATCCTATGTGAGGGACAAACACTCAGAAACCACCAGCAGTGTTTTTGAATCCTATGTGAGAGAAAAACTCTCAGAACCCAGCAGCAGCGTTCTGGAATCCTTGGTGAGGGAAAAACATTCAGAACCTCGTAGCAGTGTTCTGGAATCGTAAGTGAGGCACAAACTCTCAGAACCCAGCAGAAGTGTTCTGAATCCCATGTGACTGACAAACAGAAACCAGCAGCAGTGTTCTAGAATCCTTTGTGAGGCACAAACATTGAGACCCTCGAAGCACAGTTCTGGAATCCTATGTGAGGGACCAACACTCAGATACCCAGCAACAGTGCTCTGGAATCCTTTGTGATGGACAAACATTCAGACCCTCGTGCCAGTTTTCTGGAATCCTATGTGATGGACCAACACTCAGAACCCAGCAGCAGTGTTCTGGAATCCAATGTGAGGGACAAACACTCAGAACCCAGCAGCAGTGTTCTGGAATCTTATGTGAGGGAAAAACACTCAGAACCCAGCAGCAGTGTTCTGGAATCCTATGTAAGGGGCAAACACTCAGAACCCAGCAGCAGTGTTCTAGAGTCCTTTTTGAGGGACAAACACTAAGAACCCAGTAGCGGTGTTCTGGAATCATTTGTGACAGACAAACATTCAGACCGTCGTAGCAGTGTTCTGGTATCTTACGTGAGGGACATATACTCAGAACACAGCAGCAGTGTTCTGGAATCCTATGTGAGGGACAAATACACAGAACCCAGCAGCAGTCTTGTGGAATCCTATGTGAGGAACAAACACTCAGAAAAACGCAGTAGTGTTCTGCAATCCTATGAGAGCGACAAACACTCAGAAACCAGCCACTCTGTTCTGGAATCCTTTCTGAGGGACAAACATTCAGACACTCATAGAAGTGTTCTGGAATCCTATGTGAGGGACAAACTCTCAGAAACCAGGAGCAGTTCTCTGGAATCCTTTGTGAGTTACAAACAAACAGAACCCAGTAGCAGTGTTCTGGAAGCCTTTCTGACAGAAAAACATACAGATCCTTGTAGCACTGTTCTGGAATCCTATGTGAGGGACAAACCCTCAGAACCCAGCAGCCGTGTTCTGGAATCCTTTTTGCGGGACAAACATTCAGAATCTCGTATCTGTGTTCTGGATTCCTATGTGAGGGTGAAACACTCTGAACCCAGCAGACGTGTTCAGGAATCCCATGTGATGGACAGACATTCAGATCCTGGTAACAGTGTTATGGAATCCTTATGTGAGGGACAAACACTCAGAACCCAACAGCAGTGTTCTGGAATCCTATGTGAGGGACAAACATTGAGAACCCAGCAACAGTGTTCTGGAATCCTATGTGAGGGAAATACACTCAGCTCCCAACAGCAGTGTTCTGGATACCTTTGTGAGGGACTAACTTTCAGACCCTCTTAGCAGGATTCTCTAATCCTATGTGAGGGAGAAACACTCGGAACCCAGCAGGTGTGTTCTGGAATCCCATGTGAGGGACAGACATTCAGACCAACACACAATGTTCTGGAATCCTATGTGAGGGACAAGCACTCAGAACCCAGCAGCAGTGCTCTGCAATCCTTTGTGAGGGACAAACATTGAGACCCTTGTAGCAGTGTTCTGGAAACCTATGTGAGGAACAAACATTCAGACCCTCATAGCAGTGTTCTGGAATCCTATGTGAGGGTAACACTCTCAGAACCCAACGGCAGCGTTTTGGAAACATTTTGAGGGTCAAATATTAAGACCCTTATGGTAGTGTCCTGAAATCCTATGTGAGGGACAAACATTCAGACACTCGTAGGAGTGTACTGGAATCCTAAGTCAGGGACAAACACTCAGTACCCGGCAGCAGTGATATGGAATCGTATGTGAAGTACAAAGACACAGAACCCAGCAGCAGTGTTCTGGAATCCTATCTGGGCGACAAACATTCAGAACTTCCTAGCAGTGTCCTGGAATCCTTTGTGAGGAAAAAACATTCAGAGCCTCATAACAGTGTTCTGGAATCCTATGTGAGGCACAAACACACAGAACCCAGCAGCAGTGTTCTGGAATCCTATGTGAGGGACAAACACTCAGAACCCAGTAGCAGTGTTCTGGAATACTATGTGAGGGATAAACATTCAGACACTCGTAGCAGTGTTCTGGAATCCTATGTCAGGGTCAAACCCTAAGAATCCACCAGTATTGTTCTGGAATCCTTTGTGAGGGACAAATATTCTGACCCTCATAGCAGTGTTCTGGAATCCTATGTGAGGGAAATACTTTTAGACCCTCATAGCAGTGCTCTGGAATCCTATGTGAGGGACAAACACACAGAAGCCAGCAGTGGTGTTCTGGAATCCTATGTAAGGGACAAACATGCAGAACCCAGCAGCTATGTTGTGGAAACCTATGTGAGGGACAAACACCCAAAACCCAGCAGCAGATTTCTGGAATCTGTGAAGGACAAACATTCAGACCGTCGTAGCAGGGTTCTGGAATCCTATGTGAGGGACAAACATTCAGAACCCAGCAGCAGTGTGCTGGAATCCTATGTGAGGGACAAACCTTCATACCCTCACTGCAGTGTTCTGGAATCGTATGTGGGGAACAAACACTCAGAACCCAGCAGTAGTATTCTGGAATCCTTTTTGAGGGACAAATATTCAGACCCTCGTAGCAATGTTCTGGAATCCTATGTGAGGGTCAAACACTCAGAAACCAGAAGCAGTGTTCTGGAAACCTTTGTGAGGGACAAATATTCAGTCCCTCATAGCAGTGTTCTAGAATCCTATGCAAGTGACAAATATTCATATCCTCGTAGCAGTGTTCTGTAACCCTATGTGAAGGACAAACACTCAGTACACAGCAACAGTTTTCTGGAATCCTATGTAAAGGACAAAGACTCAGAACCGAACTGCCGTGTTCCGGAATCCTATAGGAGAGTCAAACACTCAGAACCCAGCAGCAGTGCTCAGGAATCCCATGTGACAGACAGATATTCAGACCCTCGTAACAGTGTTCTGGAATCCTAAGTGAGGGATAAATACTCAGAGAACAACAGCAGTGCTCTGGAATCCTGTGTGAGGGACAAACATTCAGAGCATCGTAGCAATATTCTGGACTCCTATGTGAGGGACGACCACACAGAACCCAGCAGCAGTGTTGTGGAATCCTATGTGAGGGCCAAACACTCAGAACCCAGAAGAAGTGTTCAGGAATCCTATATAAGGCACAAACACTCAGAAAACAGTAGCCATGTTCTGGAATCCTATGTGAGAGACAAACACTCAGAACCCAGCAGCAAGGTTCCAGAAACCTTTGTGAGGGAAAAATATTAAGACCCTTGTAGTAGTGTCCCGGATTCTAAGTGAGAGACAAACATTCAGATCCTCGTAGCAGTGTTCTGGAATGCTATGTGAAGGACAAACACTCAGAGCCCAGCAGCAGTGTTCTGGAATTCTATGTGATGGACAAACACTCAGAAACCAGCAGCAGTGTTCAGGAATCCTAAGTGAGGGACAAAAACTCAGAAAGCAGCAGCAGTGCTCTGGAACTCTATGTGAGGGACAAATATTCAGACCCTCATATCAATGTACTGGAATCCTGTGTGTGGGTCAAACACTCAGACCCAGCAACAGTGTTCTGGAAACCTTCTGAGGGACAAAGAATCAGACACTTGTAGCAATGTTCTGGAATCCTAAGTGAGCGAGGAATCTTCAAACCTCGTAGCAGTGTTCTGTAATCCTATGTGAGGGACAAACACTCAGAACCCAGCAGCAGTGTTCTGGAATCTTAAGTGAAGGACAAACATTCAGATCCTCGTAGCAGTGTTCTGGAATCCTGTGTGAGGGTAAAACCCTCAGAGCCTAGCAGTAGTGTTCTGGAAACCAGTGTGAGGGACAAATATTAAGAACCTCATAGTATTGTTCTGGAATTCTATGTGAGGGGCAAACATTCAGAACCTCGTAGCAGTGTTCTGGAATCGTATGTGAGGGACGAATACTCAGAACCCAGCAGCAGTGTTCTGGAATCCTTTGTGAGGGAGAAATACTCAAACCCAGCAGCAGTGTTCTGGAATCCTATGTGAGGGACAAACACTCAGAACCCAGCAGTAGTATTCTGGAATCCTTTGTGAGAGCCAGACATTCAGAATCTCGTAGCTGTGTTCTGGATTCCTATGTGAGGGACAAACACTCAGAACCCAGCAGCAGTGTTCTAGAATCCTACTTGAGTTACTAACACTCAGACCAAAGCAGTAGTGTTCAGGAAATCCATGTGACGGACTGATATTCAGACCCTCGTGGCAGTGTTTTGGAATCCCATGTGAGGGACAAACACAGAGAACACAGCACTAGTGTTCTGCAATCCTATGTGAGTGACAAACACTCAGAACCCAGCAGCAGTGTTCTGGAATCCGATGTAAGGGACAAACAATCAGACACTCGTAGCACTGTCCTGGAATTCTTTGTGAGGTTCAAAGACTAAGAACACAGCAAGAGAGTTCTGGAAACCTTTGTAAAGGACAAACATTCAGACCCTCTTTGTCGTGTTCTGGAATCGTATGTGAGGGTAAAACATTCAGAAACCAGCAGCAGTGCTCTGGAAACGTTTGTGAGGTACAAATATAAAGACCCTCATAGTACTGTTCTGGAATCCTATGTGACGGACAAACACTCAGAACCCTACAGCAATGTTATGGAATCCTATGTGAGGGGCAAACACTCAGAAGCCAGCAGCAGTGTTCTGGAATCCTTTGTGACGGACAAACTTTCAGATCCTTTTAGCAGTGTTCCGGAATCCTATGTGAGGGGCAAACACTCAGAAACCAGCAGCAGTGTTCTGGATTCCTTTGTGACGGAAAAACTTTCAGATCCTTGTAGCAGAGTTCCAGAATCCTGTGTGATGGACAAACACAGAAACCAGCAGAAGTGTTCTGGAATCCAATGTGAGGGACAAACACTCAAAACCCAACAGCAGTGTTCTGGTATCCCATGTGAGGGACAAACATTCAGAGCTTCGTAGTTGTGTTCTGGAAACCTATGTGAGGGACAAACACTTAGAACCCAGGAGCAGTGTTCTGGAATCCTATGTGAGGGAGAGACATTCAGCCCCTCGTAGCAGTGTTCTGGAATCGTATGTGAGAGACAAACACTAAGAACCCTGCAGCACTGTTCTGGAATCCTTTGTGAGGGACAAACATTCAGACCCTTGTTGCAGTGTTCTGGAATCCTAACTGAGGGACAAACACTCAGAACCCAGCAGCGGTGTTCTGTAATCCTATATGAGGGAAAAACATTCAGAACTCAGCAGCAATGATCTGGAATCCTCTCTGAGGGACATTCAGACCCTCGTAACAGTGTTCTGGAACCTTATGTGAAGGACAAACATTCAGAAACACACAGCAGTGCTCTGGAATCCTTTGTGAAGGACAAACCCTCAGAGCCCAGCTGCAATGTTCCAGAATTTTTGTGAGGGATAAACATTCAGAACCTCGTAGCAGTGTTCTGTAATCCTATGTGGGGGACAAACACTCAGAACCCAGCAGCAGTGTTCTGGAATCCTACGTTAGGTACAAAAACTGAGAATGCAGCAGCAGTGTTCTGGAATCCTATGTCAGGGCAGATATTCAGACCCTCGTATCCGTGTTCTCGAATCCTATGTGAGGGACAAACTGTCAGAATCCAGCAGCGGTATTCTGGAATTCTTTGTGAGGGACAAACACTCTGAATCCTGCAGCAGTGTTCTGGAATCCTACGCGAGGGACAAATATTCATGACCTCGTAGCAGTGTTCTGGAATCCTATAAGATGGTTAAACTCTCAGAACCCAGCAGCAGTGTTGTGGAAAGCTTTGTGAAGGACAAACATTCAGAATTTCTTAGCAGTGTTCTGTAGTCCTATGTGAGGGACAAACATTTAGACCCTCGTTGCTGTGTTCTGGAATCCTACGTGAGGGACAGACATTCAGACCCTCGCAGCAGTGTTCTGCAATCCTATGTGAGGGACAAGCACTCAGAACCCAGCAGTGTTCCAGAATCCTATGTGAGGGACACAGTTTTACAACCTCATAGCTGTGTTCTGGAATCCTATGTGAGGGTCAAACACTCAGTACCTAGCAACAGTGTTCTGCAAACCTTTCTGAGGGACAGACATTCAGAACCACCTAGCAGTTTTCTGGAATCCTGTGTGAAGGACAAACACACAGAACCCACCAGCAGTGTTCTGGAATCCTAAGTGTGGGACAGACACTTAGAACCCAGAAGCCATGTTCTGGAATCCAAAGTGAGGGACAAACACTCTGAACCCAGCAGCAGTGTTCCATAATTTTTTGTGAGGGATGGACATTCAGACCATTGTAGCAGTGTTCTGGAATTCTATGTGAGGGATAGACACTCAGAAACCAGCAGCACTGATCTGGAATTCTTCGTGAGGGACAATCATTCACACCAGTTTAGCAGTGTTCCTGAATCGTACATAAAGGAGAAACATTCAGACCCTCGTAGCAATGTTCTGGAGTCTTATGTGAGGGACAAACTTTCAAACCTTCGTAGCAGTGTCCCGGAATCCTATGTGAGGGACAAACACTCAGAACCCAGCAGCAGTGTTTTGGAATACTATGTGACGGACAAACAATCAGAACCCAGAAACAGTGTTCTGGAATGCTATGTAAGGGACAAACATTCAGACCCTCGAAGCAGTGTACTAGAATCATATTTGAGGGACAAACACTCAGAACCCAGCAGCAGTGTTCTGCAATCTATTGTGAGGCACAAATATTCAGACCCTCATAGCAGTGTCCTAGAATCCTATCTGAGGGAAAAACATTCAGACCCTCATAGCAGTGTTCTGGAATCCTATGTGAGGGTCAAACACACAGATCCCAGCAGCAGTGTTGTGGAAACCTTCGTGAGAGACAAACATTCAGACACTGTTTGCAGTGTTCAGGAATTCTAAGTGAAGGACAAACGTTCAGATCCTCGTAGCAGTATTCTGGGATCTTATGTGAGGGACAAACCCTCAGAACACAGCAGCAGTGGGCTGGAATCCTATATGAGGAACAAACACAAAGAACGCAGCAGCAGTGTTCTGGAATCCTATGTGAGGGACAGACACTCAGAAACTTTCAGAGGTGTTCTGGAATCCTAAGTGAGGGACAGACATTCAGACTCTCAAAGCAGTGCTCTGGAATCCTATGGGAGAGACAAACACTCAGACCCTCATAGCAGTGTTCTGGAATCCTATGGGAGAGACAAACACTCAGACCCTCATAGCAGTGTTCTGGAATCCTATGTGAGGGTCAAACACTCAGATCCCAGCAGCAGTGTTGTGGAAACCTTCATGAGGGACAAACATTCAGACACTGTTTGCAGTGTTCAGGAATCCTAAGTGAAGGACAAACATTCAGATCCTCGTAGCAGTATTCTGGGATCTTATGTGAGGGACAAACCCTCAGAACACAGCAGCAGTGGGCTGGAATCTTATATGAGGAACAAACACAAAGAAAGCAACAGCAGTGTTCTGGAATCCTATGTGAGGGGCAGACACTCAGAAATTTTCAGAGGTGTTCTGGAATCCTTTGTGAGGGACAAATATTTAGAACCTCATAACAGTGCTCTGGCATCCTATGTGAGGGAAAAACACTCTTAAGCCAGCAGCAGTGTTCTGGAATCCCTTGTGAGGGAAAAACACTCAGAACTCAGCAGCCGTGTTCTGGAATACTAAGTGAGTGACTAACACTCAGAAGACAGCAACAGTGTTCTAGAATCCATTTAGAGGGAAAAACTTTCAGACATTCAAAAAATTGTTCTGGAATCCTATGTGAGGGACAAAAACTCAGAACCCAGCAGCAGTGTTCTGGAATCCTTAGTGTTAGACAAACATTCAGACCCTCATAGCAGTGTTGTGGAATCCTAAGTAAGGGAAAAACACTCAGAACAAACTGGCAGTGTTCTGGAATCCTATGTCAGGGACAAATTCTCAGAACCCAGCAGCAGTGGTCTGGAATCACCTGTGAGGTACCCCACTCAGAACACAGACACTGTGTTATGAAATCCTATGTGAGGGAAAAACTGTAAGACACTCGAGGAAGTGCTTTGGAATCATACGTGAGGGAAAAACACCCAGAAAGCAGCAGCGGTGCTCTGGAATCCTTTGTGAGGGACAAACACACAGAACTTAGCAGGGGTTTTCTCGAATCCTTTGTGAGGGAAAACATTCAGAGGCTCCCAGCAGTGTTCTGGAATTCTATGTGAGGGAAAAACTCTCAGAACCGACCAACAGTGTTCTGAAATCCAGTGTGAGGGACAAACACTCAGAACCCATCAACAGTGTTCTAGAATGCATTGTGAGGGACAAACCTTCAGACCCACGAAGCAGTGTTCTGTAATCCTGTGTGAGGGACAAGCACTCAGAACTCAACAGGAGTGTTCTGGAATCCTTTGTGAGGGAAAAACATTCAGAACTTTGTAGCAGTGCTCTGTAATCCTTTCGGAGGGGCAAACAAACATACCCCAGCAGCAGTGTTCTGGAATCCTATGTGAGGGACAAACACTCAGAATCCAGCAGCAGTGTTGTTGAATCGTTTGTGAAAGAGAAAGATTCAGAACCTCATAGCAGTGTTCTGGAAACCTGTGTGAGGGACAAACAGTCTGAACCCAGCAGCAGTGCTCTGGAATCCCATGTAAGGGTCAAACACTCAGAACCCAGCAGCCATATTCTGGAATCCTACATGAGTGACAAACACTCAGAACCCAGTAGAAGTGTTCTAAAATCCTTTGTGAGGGACAAACATTCAGACCCATGAAGCAGTGTTCTGGAATCCTATCTGAGGGACAAACACTCAGAACCCAGCCGCAGTGTTCTGGAAACCTTTGTGATGGACAAACATTTAGACCATAGTAGGAGTGTTCTGCAATCCTATGTAAGGGAAAAACACTCAGACCTCAGTATCAGTGTTCAGGAATACTA
Organism: Homo sapiens; assembly: GCF_000001405.40. NCBI lineage: Eukaryota > Metazoa > Chordata > Mammalia > Primates > Hominidae > Homo > Homo sapiens. The sequence goes on from NC_000014.9 coordinate 18,432,141, forward strand.
CATGAGGGACAAACACTCAGAACCCAGCAGCAGTGTTCTGGAATCCTCAATGAGGGACAAACACTCAAAACTCAACAGCAGTGTTCTGGAATTCTATGTGAGGGACAAACACTCAGAACCCAGCCGCAGTGTTCTGGAATCCTATGTGAGGAATAAACACTCAGAACCCAGCAGCAGTGTTCTAGAATCCTATGTGAGGGACAGACACTCAAAACCTAGGCACTGTCTTCTGGAATCCTATTTGAAGGACAAATATTCAGACACTCATAGAAGTGTTCTGGAATCATATGTGAGGGACAAACACTCAGAACCCAGCAGAATTGTTCTGGTATCCTATGAGAGCAATAAACGTTCAGAATTTCTTAGCAGTGTTATGGAATCCTACGTGGGGGACAAATAATCAGAACCCAGCCTCTGTGTTCTGGAGTCCTATCTGAGGGAGAAACATTCAGACACACGAAGAAGTGTTCTGGAATCTAATCTGAGGGACAAACACTCCGAAAGCAGCAATATTTTTCTGGATTCCGTTGTGAAGGAAAAACAAACAGTATCCAGCAGGAGTGCTTCGGAATCCTATGTGAGTGGCAAACACTCAGAAACCAGCAGGAGTTGTCTAGAATCCTTTGTGAGGGACAAACATTCAGACACTCGAAGCAGTGTTCTGGAATCCTATGTGAGGGACAAACACTCAGAACCCAGCAGCAGTGTTCTGTAATTTTTGCTGATGGACAAACATTCAGACCTTCGTAACAGTGCTCTGCAACCCTATTTGAGGGACAAGCACTCATAACACAGTAGCAGTATCCTGGAATCCTTTGTGTGGGACAAACACTCAGAACCCAGCAGCAGTGTTCTGGAATCCTATGTGAGGGACAAACACTCAGTACCCACCGGCAGTGTTCTGGAATTCTATGTAAGGGACAAACACTCCGAATCCAGCAGCAGTGTTGTGGAATCCTATGTGAGGCACAAACTCTCAGAACCCAGCAGCAGAGTTCTGGAATCCTTTGAGAGGGACAAACACTCAGAAACCAGCCACTGTGTTCTGTATTCCTATCTAAGGGACAAACATTCATACACTCGTAGAATTGTTCTGGAATCCTATGTGATGGACAAACATTCAGGCCCTCGTAGCAGTGCTCTGGAATCTTATGTGAGGGACAAACACTCAGAAGCAGTAGCAGTATTCTGGAATCCTCAGTGAGGGACAAACACGCAGAACCCTGCAACAGTGCTCTGGAATCCCATGTGAGGTACAAACACTCAGAACACAGGAGCTATGTTCTGGAATCCTGTGTGAGTGACAAACACTCAGAACCCAGCAGCAGTGTTCTAGAAACCTTTGTGAGGGATGAAAATTCAGACCCCTGAAGCAGTATTCTGGAATCCTATGTGAGGGACAAACACTCAGAACCCAGCAGCTGTGTTCTGCAATCCTATGTGAGGGACAAACACTCAGAACCCAGCAGGACTGTTCTGAAATCCTCAATGAGGGACAAACACTCAGAACCCAACAGCATTGTTCTGGAAATCTATGTGACGGACAAACACTCAGAACCCAGCTGCAGTGTTCTGGAATCCTATGTGAGGGACAAACACTCATAACTCAGTAGCAGTCTTCTGGAATCCCATATAAGGGACAAATACTCAGAACCCAGCCACTGTGTTCTGGAATCCTATCTTAGGGATAAATATTCAGACACTCATAGAAGGCTTCTGGAATCCTTTGTGAGGCCCAAACACTCAGAAACTAGCAGCGGTGCTCTGGAATCCTTTCTGAGGGACAAACAAACAGAACCCAGCAGAAGTGTTCTTTAATTCTTTGTGAGGGTAAAACTTTCAGACCCAAGTAGGTGTGTTTTGGAATCCTATGTGAGGGACAATCACTCAGAGCCCAGCTGCAGTGTTCTGGAATTCTACGTGAGGGACAAACATTCAGAACCCAGCAGCAGTGTTCTGGAATCCTATGTGAGCGACAAACATTCAGAACTTCATAACAGAGTTCTGGAATACTATGTGGGGGACAAACACTCAGAATCCTTACACTGTGTTCTGGAATACTAAGTGAGGGGCAATCATTTAGAACATCCTAGCAGTGTTCTGGAATCGTTAGTGTGTGACAAACACTCAGAACCCAGCAGCAGTGTTCTGGAAACTTATGTGAGTGACAAACACTCAGAACCCAGCAGCAGTGTTCTAGAAACCTTTGTGAGGGAAAAACATTCAGATGCTCAAAGCAGTGTTTTGGAATCCTACGTGAGAGACAAACACTCGGAACCCAGCACCAGTGTTCTAGAATCCTTTGTGACGGACAACCATTCAGACCCTCGTAGCACTGTTTTGGAATCCTAAGTGAGGGACAATCACTCAGAACCCACCAGCAGTGTTCTGGTATCCTATGTGAAGGAAAAACATTCAGATCCCAACAGAAGTGTTCTGGAATCCTATGTGAGGGACAAACACTCGGAACCCAGAAGAAGTGTTCTGGAATCCTATGTGAAGAACAAACGCTCAAAACCCAGCCACTGGGTTCTGGAATCCTTTCTGAGGGACAAACATTCAGATGATCGTAGAAGTGTTCTAGAATACTATGTGAAGGACAAACACTCAGAAACTAGCAGCGGAGCTCTGGAATCCTTTGTGAGGGACAAACAAACAGAACACAGCTAGAGTGTTCTGGAATCTTTTGTGAGGGAAAAACATTCAGACTCTCGTAGCAATGTTCTGGAATCCTATGTTTGGGACAAACACTCAGAACACAGCAGCAATGTTCTGGAATCCCACCTGAGGGACAAACACTCAGACCCAGAAGCAGTGTTCTAGAATCCTTTGTCAGGGACAAACCTTCAGACACTCGAAGCAGGGTTCTGGAAACCTATGTGAGGGACAAAGACTCAGAATCCAGCAGCAGTTCTCTGTAATCCTTCGTGAGGGACAAACAAACTGTACCCAGCAGCAGTGTTCTGCAATCCTATGTGAGGGACTAACACTCAGAAACCAGCAGCAGTGTTCTGGAATGCTTTGTGAGGGACAAACATTCAGAACCTCGTAGCAGTGTTCTGGAGTCTTATGTGAGGGACAAACACTCTTAACCCAGCAGCAGTGTTCTGCAATCCCCTGTGACAGACAAACTCTCAAAACCCCTCATCGGTGTTCGGGAATCCTATGTGAGTGACAAACACTCAGAACCCAGCAGCAGTGTTCCAGAATCCCTTTTGAGAGACAAACATTCAGACTTCGGAAGCAGTGTTCTTGAATCCTATGTGAGGGACAAATACTCAGGTCCCAGCAGCACTGTTCTGGATTCCTATCTGAGGGAGAAACACTCAGAAACGTGTCACTGTGTTCCGGAATCTTATCTGACGGATAAACATTCAGACACTCTTAGAAGTGTTCTGTAATGCTATGTGAGGGACAAACACTCAGAAACCAGCAGCAGTGCTCTGGAATTCTTTGTGAGGGACAAGCAAAGGGAACCAAGCTGCTGTGTTCTGGAAACTTTTGTGAGAGAAAAACATTCAGACTCTCGTAGCAGTGTTCTGGAATCCCATGTTTGGGACAAACACTCAGAACACAGCAGCAATGTTCTGGAATCCCACTTGAGGGACAAACACTCAGAATCCAGCAGCAGTGTTCTAGAATCCTTTGTGAGGGAGAAACCTTCAGACACTGGAAGCAGTGTTCTGGAAACATATGTGAGGGAGAAACACTCAGAACCCAGCAGCAGTTCTCTGTAATGTTTCTTGAGGGACAAACAAACAGAACGCAGAAGCAGTGTTCTGGAATCCTACGTGACGGACTAACACTTAAAAACCAGCAGCAGTGTTCTGGAAAGCTTTGTGAGGGACAAACATTCAGAATCTCCTAGCAGTGTTCTGGAATCCTATGTGAGGGACAAACACTCTTAACCCAGCAGCAGTGTTCTGGAATCCCATGTGAGGGACAAACACTCAGAACCCAGAAGCAGTGTTCTGGAATCCTACGTGACGAACTAACACTTAGAAACCAGCAGCAGTGTTCTGGAAAGCTTTGTGAGGGACAAACATTCAGAATCTCATAGCAGTGTTCTGGAATCCTATGTGAGGGACAAACACTCTTAACCCAGCAGCAGTGTTCTGGAATCCCATGTGAGGAACAAGCTCTCAAAACCCCACAGCGGTGTCCTGGAATCCTATGTGAGTGACAAACACTCAGAACCCAGCAGCGGTGTTCTGGAATCCTTTGTGAGGGACAAACATTCATATCTTTGAAGCAGTGTTCTGGAATCCAATATAAGGGCAAACACTCAGATCCCAGCAGCAGTGTTCTAGAATCCTTTGTGAAGGAGAAATTTTCAGACACTCGAAGCAGTGTTCTGGAAACCTATGTGAGGGAGATACACTCAGAACCCAGCAGCAGTTCTCTGTAATCCTTCTTGAGGGACAAACAAACAGAACCCAACAGCAGTGTTCTGGAATCCTACGTGAGTGACTAAGACTTAGAAACCAGCAGCAGTGTTCTGGAATCCTTTGTGAGGGACAAACATTCACAACCTCGTAACAGTGTTCTGGAATCCTATGTGAGAGACAAACACTCTTAACCCAGCTGCAGTGTTCTGGAATCCTATGTGAGGAACAAACTCTCAAAACCTGGCAGCGGTGTTCTGGAATCCTATGTGAGTGACAAACACTCAGAAACCAGCAGCAGTGTTCTAGAATCCTTTGTGAGGGACAAACATTCAGACCTTTGAAGCAGTGTTCTGGAACCCTATGTGAGGGACAAACACTCAGATCCCAGCAGCAGTGTTCTGGATTCCTATGTGAGGGAGAAACAGTCAGAACCCAGCCACTGTGTTCTGGAATCCTATCTGAGGGACACACATTCAGGCACTCTTAGAAGTGTTCTGGAATTCTATGTGAGGGACAAACACTCAAAAACCAGCAGCGGTGCTCTGGAATCCTTTGTGAGGGACAAACAAACAGAACCAAGCAGCAGTGTTCTGGAATCTTTTGTGAGGGAAAAACATTCAGATTCTCGTGGCAGTGTTCTGGAAACCCATGTGAGGGACAAACACTAAGAACCTAGCAGCGATGTTCTGGAATCCCACTTGAGGGACAAACAATTAGAACCCAGCAGCAGTGCTCTAGAATCCTTTGTTAGGGACAAAACTTCAGACACTTGAAGCAGTGTTCTGGAAACCTAAGTGAGGGATAAACACTGAGAGCCCAGCAGTAGTTCTCTGTAATCCTTCTTGAGAGACAAACAAACAGAACTCAGCAGCAGTGTTCTGGAGTCCTCTGTGAGGACAAACACTCAGAAAACAGTAACAGTGTTCTGGAATGCTTTGTAAGGGACAAACATTCAGAACCTCGTAGTAGTGTTCTGAAATCCTGTGTGAGGTACAAACACTCTTAGCCCAGCAGCAGTGTTATAGAATCCCATGTGATGGACAAACTTTTGGAACTCAGCAGCCATGTTCTGGAATCCTATGTGAGTGACCAACACTCACAACCCAGCAGCAGTTTTCTAGAATCCTTCCTGAGGGACAAACATTCAGACCCTTGAATCAGTGTTCTGGAATCCTACGTGAGGGTCAAACACTCAAAACCCAGCAGCAGTGTTCTGGATTCCTATGTGAGGGAGAAACAATCAGAACCCAACCACTGTGTTCTGGAATACTACCTGAGGGACACACATTCAGACACTCTTAGAAGTGTTCTGGAATTCTATGTGAGAAACATTGAGAAACCAGCAGAAGTGCTCTGGAATCTTTTCTGAGGGACAAACCAACAGAACCCAGCAGCAGTGCCCTGGAATCCTTTGTGAGGGAAAAACATTCTGACCCTCGTAGGAGTGTTCTGGTATCCTATGTGAGGAACAAGCACTCAGAACCTAAGAGCATTGTTCTGGAATCCCATGTGAGGGACAAACACTCAGAACCCAGCAACAGTGTACAAGAATCCTTTGTGAGGGACAAACTTTCAGACACTCGAAGCACTGTTCTGGAATCCTATGTAAGGGACAAACACTAAGAACTCAGTCGCAGTGTTCTGGCATCCTACGTGTGGGACTAACACTCAGAACCCAGCAGCAGTTTTCTGGAATCCTCAGTGAGGGACAAACACTCAGAACATAACAGCAATGTTCTAGAATTCTATTTGAGGGACAAACACTCAAAACCCAGCAACAGTGTTCTGGAAACCTAAGTGAGGGACAAACACACAGAACCCACCAGCATTGTTCTGGAATCCTATGTGAGGGACAAACAGTCAGAACCCCGCCACTGTGTTCTGCAATCCTATCTGCGGGATAAATATTCAAACACGTGTAGAAGTGTTCTGGAATCCTACGTGAGTGACAAACACTCAGAAACCAGCAGTGTTGTTCTGGTATACTTTGTGAGGGACAAAAAAACAGAACCAAGCAGCAGTGCTCTGTAATTCTTTTTGAGGGAAAACATTCAAACCCTCATAGCAGTGTTCCCGAATCCTGTGTGAGGGACAAACACTCAGGACACAGCAGCAGTGTTCTGGAATCCTATGTGAGTGACACACATTCACAACTTCGAAGCATTGTACTGGAATCCTATGTGAGGGACAAACACTCAGATCCCAACCACTGTGTTTTGGAAAACTACCTGAGGGGCAAATATTCAGACCCTCGTAGAAGTGTTCTGGAATCCTATGTGAGGGACAAACACTAAGAAACCAGCAGCAGTGCTCTGGAATCCTTTGAGAGGGACAAAAAATAAATAAATAAACAAAACAGAAGGAAGCAGCAGTTCTCTGGAATCTTTGTGAGGGAAAAATATTCAGACCCTCGTAGTAGTGTTATGGAATCCTATGTGAGGGACACACATTCTGAACCCAGCAGCAGTGTTTTGGAATCCCTTGCAGGGGACAAACACTCAGAAACCACAAGCAGTTTTCTGGAATCCTATGTGAGGGACAAACTCTAAAAATCCAGCAGCAGTGTTCTGGAATTGTTTGTGTGGGACAAACTTTCAGAACCTCGTAGCAGTGTTCTGGAAACCTATGTGAGGGACAAACACTCTTAACATAGCAGCGGTGTTCACGAATCTCATGTGAGGGACAAACACTGAGAACCCAGCAGCCGTGTTTGGGAATCCTAAGTGAGAGACAACCACTCAGAAACCAGCAGCAGTGTTCTAGAATCTTTTCTGAGGGAAAAACATTCAGACCCTCGTAGCAGAGTTCTGGAATCCTAAGTGAGGGAGAAACACTCAGAACCCAGCAGAAGCCTTCTGGAATCCTTTGTGAGGGACAAACATTCAGAACCTCGCAGTAGTGTTCTGGAATCCTATGTGAGGCACAGACACTCTTAAACCACAGCAGTGTTTTGGAATACCATCTGAGGGACAAGCACTAGGAACCTAGCAGCCATATTCTGGCATCCTATGTGAGTGACAAACACTCAGAACCCAGCAGAAGTGTTCTAGAATCCTTTGTGTGGGACAAACATTCAGACACGAAGTAATTTTCTGGAATTATATGTGAAGGGCAAACACTCAGAACCCAGCAGTAGTGTCCTGGAATTCTTTGTGATGGACAAACATTCACGCCCTCATAGCAGTGTTCTGGAATCCTATGTGAGGGACAAACACTCAGAACCCAGTAGCAGTGTTCTGGAATCCTTAGTGAGGGACAAACGCTCAGAACCCATCAGCAGTGTTATGGAATCCTACGTGAGGGACAAACACTCAGTACCCACCAGCAGTGTTCTGGAATTCTATGTGAGGGACAAACACTCAGAACCCAGCAGAAGCCTTCTAGAATCCTAGGTGAGGGACAAACACTCAGAACCCAGCAGCAGTGTTGTGGAATCATATGTGAGTGACAAACATTCAGAACTTTGTAGCAGTGTTCTGGAATCCTATGTGTGGGACAAACACTCAGAACCCAGCCACTGTATTCTGGAATCCTATCTGAGGGACAAACATTTAGACATTCGTAGAGGTTTTCTGGAATCCTATGTGAGGGACACACAATCAGAAACCAACAGAGGTGTTCTGGAATCCTTTGTGACGGACAAACAAACAGAATACAGCAGCAGTGTTTTGGAATCCTACGTGAGGGACAAACATTTATAACCTCCTGGAAGTGTTCTGGAATTGTATGTGAGGGACAAACACTCAGAACGTCGCAGCAGTGTTCTGGAATCACATGTGAGTGATAAACACCCAGAACCCAGCAGCAGGTTTCTAGAATCCTTTGGGAGTGACAAACACTCAGACCCTCAAAGCACTGTTCTGGAATCATACTTGAGAGACAATCACTCGGAAACAAGCAGCAGTGTTCTGGAATCATTTCTGACAGACAAACATTCAGACCCTCGTAGCACTGTTCTGGCATCTTATGTTAGGGACAAACACTCAGAACTCAGCAGACGTGTTCTGCTATCCTATATGAAGGAAAAGCACTCAGAACACAGCAGCAGTGTTCTGGAATCCTATGTGAGGGACAAACACCCAGAACGCAGCAGCAGTGTTCTGGAATCCTATGTGAGGGACAAATACTCAGAACCCAGCCACTGTGTTCTGGAATCCTATGTGAGGCAAAACTATTCAGACACTCATAGAAGTGTTCTGGAATCCTCTGGGAAGGACAAACACTCAGAAACCAGCAGAGATGCTCTAGAATCCTTTGAGAGGGACACGTAAACAGAACATAGCAGCAGTGTTCTGGAAACCTTTCTGAGGGAAAAACATTCAGACTCTCACAGGAGAGTTCTGCAATCCTATCTGATGGACAAACACTCAGAACCCATCAGCAATGTTCTGGAATAACATGTGAGAGAAAAACACTCAGAACCCAGCAGTAGTGTTCTAGACTCCTTTGTGAGGGACAAACCCGCAGACACTCGAAGCAGTGTTCTGGAATCCTATGTGAGGGACAAACACTCAGAACCCAGAAGCAGTGCTCTGTAATCCTTTGTGAGGGAAAAACAGACAGAACCCAGCAGCAGTGGTCTGCAATCCTATGTGAGGGCAAACACTCAGAACCCAGCAACAGTGTTCTGGAATCCTTTGTGAGTGACAAACTTTCTCAACCTCATAGCAGTGTTCCGGAACGCTATGTGAGAGACAAACACTCTTAACCGACCAGCAGTGTTCTGTAATTCCTATGTGAAGGACAAACACTCAGAACCCAGCAGCCGTGTTCTGGAATCGTATGTGAGTGTCAAACACTGAGAACCCAGCAGCAGTGTTCTGGAATCCTTTGTGAGGGACAAATATTCAGACACTAGAAGCAGTGTTGTGGAATCCTATGTGAACGACAAACACTCAGAATCCTACAGAAGTGTCCTGGAATCCTTTGTGTTGGACAAACATTCAGAAACTCGTAGCAGAGTTCTGGAATCCTATGTGAGGGACAAACACTGAGAACCCAGTAGCAGTGTTCTGGAATCCTTAGTGAGGAACAAACACTCAGAATCCAGCAGCACTGTTCTGGAATGCTCGTTGAGGGACAAACACTCAGAACCCAACAGCAATGCTCTTGAATTCTATGTGAGGGACAAACACTCAGAACCCATCAGCAGTGTTCTGGAATCCTACATGATGGACAAACACTCTGAACCCAGCAGCAGTGTTCTGGCATCCTATGTGAGGGACAAACACTCAGAACCCAGCCACCGTGTTCTGGAATCCTATCTGTCTGATAAATATTCAGACACTCATAGAAATGTTCTGGAATCCTAAGTGATGGAGAAACACTCAGAAATCAGCAGCAGTCCTCTGGAATCCTTTGTGAAGGATAAACAAAGAGAACCCACCAGCAGTGTTCTGGAATCTTTCTGAGTGAAAAACATTCAGAACCTAGTAGCAGTGGTCTGGAATCCAATGTGAGGGAGAAACACTCAGAACCCAGCAGCAGTGTGCTGGAATTCATAGTGAGGGACAAATATTCACAACCTCGTAGCAGTGTTCTGGAATCCTATGTGAGACACAAGCACTTTTAACCCACCAGCAGTTTTTTGGAATCACATGTGGGGGACAAACACTCAGAACCCAGTAGCAGTGTTCTAGAATCCTCTGTGAGGGACAAACATTCAGACATTCGAAGCAGTTTTCTGGAATCCTATGTGAGGGGCAAACAATCAGAAACCAGCAGCAGTGTTCTGGAATCCTTTGTGATGGACACACATTCAGACCCTTGTAGCAGTGTTCTGGAATCCATTCTGAGGGACAAACACACAGAAACCAGCAGCAGTGTTCCGGAATCCTTTGTGATGGACAAACACTCAGAACGCAGTAGCAGTGTTCTGGAATCATAGGTGATGGACAAACACTGAGAACACAGCAGCAGTGTTCTGGAATTCTGTGTGAGGGAAAAACATTCAGAACCCAGCTGCAGTGTTCTGGAATCCTATGAGAGCGACAAACCTTCAGAACTTCATAACAGTGTTCTGGAATCCTATGTGGGAGACAAACACTCAGAACCCAGCCACTGTTTTCTGGGATCCTACTTGAGGGACAAACATTCAGACACTAGTAGAGGTTTTCTGGAATCCTATGTGAGGGACAAACACTCAGAACCCAGCAGCAGTATTGTGGAATTCTATATGACGGACAACCACTCAGAACCCAGTGGCAGTGTTCTGGAATCCCATGTAAGGGACAAACACTCAGAACCCAGCAGCAGTGTTCTGGAATCCTTTGTGCAGGACAAACACTCAGAACCCAGCCAATGTGTTCTGGAATCCTATCAGAGGGACAAACATTCAGACACTTGTAGAAGTGTTCTGGAATCCTATGTGAGGAAGAAACACTCAGAAACAAGCAGCGGTGCCCTGGAATTATTTGTGAGGAAAAAACAGAACCCAGCAGCAGCGTTCTGGAATCCTATGTGATGGAAAAACTTTCAGAAACCAGCAGGAGTGTTCTGGAATCTTCTGTGAGGGACAAACAATGAGAACCACGTATCAGTGCTCTGGAATCCTATGTGAGGGACAAACATTCTTAACCCGGCTTCAGTGTTCTAGAATCTCATGTGACGGACTGAAACTCAGAACCCAGCAGCCGTGTTCTGGAATCCTATGTCAGTGATCAACACTCAGAAACCAGCAACAGTTTTCTCGAATCCTTTGTGACGGACAAACATTCATACACTAGGAGAAGTGTTCTGGAATCCTATGTGAGGGACAAACACTCAGAAACTAGCAGCGGTTCTCGGCAATACTTTGTGAGAGACAAACATAACCCAGCAGCAGTGTTCTGAAATCCTTTGTGAGGATAAAACATTCAAAACCTCTCACCAGTGTTCTGGAATCCTATGAGAGGGCCAAACATTCAGAACCCAGCAGCAGTGTTCTGGAATCCCATGTGAGGGACAAATACTCAGAATCCAGCAGCAGTGTTCTAAAATCCTTTGTGAGGGACAAACCTTCAGACACTCGAAGGAGTGTTCTGGAATCCCATGTGAGGGACAAACACTCAGTAACCAGCAGCAGTGCTCTGTAATCTTTTGTGTGGGAAAAACAGAACCCAGCAGCTGTGTTCTGGATTCGTATGTGAGGGACAAACTCTGAGAATCCAGCAGCAGTGTTGTGGGATCGTTTTTGAGGGGCAAACATTCAGAATCTTGTAGCAGTGTTCTGGAATCCTATGTGAAGGACAAACACACTGAAACTAGCAGCAGTGTTCTGGTATCCTGTGTGAGGGACAAATACTCAGAACCCAGCAACTGTGTTCTGGAATCCCATGTGAGGGACAAGCACTCAAACCTAGAAACACTGTTCTGGAATCCTATGTGAGGGACGAACATTCAGACCCTTGAAACAGTGTTCTGGAATCCTTTGTGAGGGACAAACACTCAGAACCCAGCAGCAGTGTTGTGGAATCCTATGTGAGTGACAAACACTCAGAACCCGTCAACATTGTTCTGGAATCCTATGTAAAGGACAAACAGTCAGAACCCAGCAACAATCCTCTGTAATCCTTTGTGAGGGACAAACACACAGAACCCAGCAGCAGTGTTCTTGAATCCTTTGTGAGGGAAAAACATTCAGACCTTCGAAGCAGTGTTCTGGAGTCCTATGTGAGGGAAAAACACTCAGAACCCAGCAACATTGTTCTGGAATCCTATGTGAGGGACAAACACTCAGAACCCAGCAGCAATGTTCTGGAATCCTATGTGAGGGACAAACATTCAGAAGTTCTTAGGAGTGTTCTGGAATCCAATGTGAGGGACAAACACTCAGAACCCAGCTGCAGTGTTCTTCAATCCTATGTGAAGGACAAACACTCAGAACCCAGCAGCAGTGTTCTGGAATGCTATGTGAGTGTCAAACACTCAGAACCCAGCAGCAGTGTTCTGGAATCCTTTGTGAGGGACAAGCATTCAGAACCTCATACCAGTGTTCAGCAATCGTATGTAAGGGACAACTGTGAACCGAGCAGCAGCAGTGTTTTTGAGTCCCATGTGAGGGACAAACACTCCGAAATCCGCAGCTGTGTTCTGGAATCCTACGTGAGGGACAAACACTCGGAACCCTGCAACAGTGTTCTGGATTCATTTGTCACGGACAAACATTCAGACTGTCGTAGCAGTGTGGTGGTATCCTATTTGAAGGACAAACCTTCAGAAACCAGAAGCAGTGCTCTGGATTGCCTTGTGAGGTACAAACAAGCAGAACCCAGCAGCAGATTTCTGGAATCCTTTGTGAAGGACAATCATTCAAACCCTCGGAGCATTGTTGTGGAATCCAATGTGAGGGACAAAAGCTCAGAAACCTGCAGCAGTGTTCTGGAATCCTATGTGAGGGACAAGCTTTCAGACCCTCATAGCACTGTTTTGGAATGCTCTGTGAAGGACAGATATTCAGACCCTCGTAGCAGGATTCTAGAATCGTATGTGAGCCACAGGCCATCAGAACCCTGCATGTGTGTTCTGGAATTCTACGTGAGGGACAATCCCTCAGAACATTGCAGCAGTTTTCTGGATTCCTATGTGAGGGACAGACACTCAGAACCCTGCAGTAGTGTTCTGGAATCCTATGTGATTGATAAACATTAAAAACACAGCAGCAGTGTTCTTGTATCCCACATGATGCACAAACACACAGAACCCTGACAAAGTGTCCTGGAATCCTAAGTGAGTGATAAACACTCACAACCCAGCAGCAGTGTTCTGGAATCCTTTGTGAGGGACTAACATTCAGACCCTCCTAGCAGTGTTCTGGAATTATATGTGAGGGTCATACACAGAAACCAGCAGCAGTGTTCTGGAATCCTATGTGAAGGACGAATAGCAAGAACCCAGCAACTGTTTGGGAATTTTATGTGGGGGACAAACCCTCAGAAAGAAGCAGCAGTGTTATAAAATCCTTTGTGAGGACAAACATTCAGACACTCATAGCACTGTCCTGTAATGCTATATGAGGGAAAAACATTCAGACCCTCGTATCAGTGTTCTGAAATCCTATGTGAGGGACAAACACTCAGAAAACAGCAGCAGTGTTCTGGAATCCTATGTGAGGGACAAACACTCAGAACCCAGCCGCAGTGTAAGGGAATTCTACGTGAGGGACAAATATTCAGACACTCAGAACACTGTTTTGGAATCCTAAGTGAGGGACAAACACTCAGAACCCCGCAGCAGTGTTTTGGAATCCTATGTGAGGGACAATAATTGAGAACCTCAAAGCACTGTTCTGGAGTGCTCTGTGAGGGACAAACATTCAGACCCTCGTAGCAGTATTCTGTAATCCTATGTGAGGCACAAACCCTCAGAACTCAGCAGCAGTGTTCTTGAATTCTATGTGAGGGACAAACCCTCAGAAACTAGCAGCAGTATTCTGGAATCCCATGTGAGGGACCAATACTCAGAACCCTGCAGCAGTGTTCTGGAATGCTATGTGAGGGACAAACACAAAAAACCCAGCAGCAGTGTTCTGGTTTCCTATATGAGGGACAAACTTTCAGAACCCAGCAGAATTGTTCTGGAATCCTATGTGAGGGACAAACACTCACAAACCAGCAGCAGTGTTTTGGAATCCTATGTGAGGGACAAACATTCAGACTCTCGGAGCAGTGTTCTGGAATCCTATGTGAAGGACAAACACTCAGAACCCAGTATCAGTGCTCTGGAATCCTATGTGAGAGACAAGGATTCAGACACTCGTAGCAGTAATACAGAATGCCTTCTGAGGAACAAACTTTGAGACCATCCCAGCATTGTTCTGGAATCGTAGGTGAGGGACAACCATTCAGAACCCAGCAGTGTTCCGGAATCCTTGGTGAGGAAAAAACTTTCAGACCCTCCAAGCAGAGTTCTGGAATCCTATGTTTGGGACAAACACTCAGAACATAGCAACTGTGTTCTGCAATCCGATGTGAGGGACAAACATTGAGAACCCACTAGCGGTGCTCTGGAATCCGTTGTGACCGACAAACTTACTGACCCTTGTAGCAGTGTTTCAGAATCCCATGTGTTGGAGAAACCCTCAGAACACAGCAGGAGAGTTCTAGAATTCTAGTGAGGGACAAACCCTCAGAAACTAGCAGCAGTATTCTGCAATCCTATGTGAGGGACAAACGCTCTGAACACAGCAGCAGTGTTCTGGAACTCGTTGACAGAGACAAGCTCTCAGATCCCAGCACCAGTTTTCTGGAATCCTATGTGAGGGAAAATCACTCTGAACTCAGCAGCAGTGTTCTGGAATCCCAAGTTAGGGACAAACACTCAGAACCCAGCAGCATTGTTCTGGAATCCTATGTGAGTGACAAACCCTAAGAAACCAGAAGCAGTGTTCTAGAATCCTCTGTGAGGGACAAATATTCAGAAAAACGAAGGAGGGTTGTGGAATCCTATGTGAGAGACAACCATTCAGATCCCAGCAGCAGTGTTCTGGAATCCTTTGGATGGACAAACATTCAGACCCCAGTAGCAGTTTCCTAGAATCCTATGTGAGTCGCAAACCTTCAGAAGCCAGCAGCAGTGTTCTGAAATCGTATGTGAGCAACAAACTTTCAGATATTAGTAGCAGTATTCTGGAATCCTATGTGGGGGACAAACGTTCAGAACCCAGCCAGTGTGTTCTGGAATCCTATCTGAGGGACAAACATTCAGACAGTCGTAGAAGTATTCTGGAATCCAAACTGAGGGACAAACACTCAGAAACCAGAAGCAGTGCTCAGGAATCCTTTGTGAGGAACAAACATACAAAACTCAGCAGCTGTGTTTTGGAATTCTATGTCAGCCTCAAACACTCAGAAAACAGCAGTATTGTTCTGGATTCCTAAGAGAGGGACAAACACTCAGAACCCAGCAGCAGTGTTCTGGAATCCTAGGTGAGTGACAAACACTCAGAACCCAATAACAGTGTGCTGGAATCCTATTTGAGGGACAAACACTCAGAACCCAACAGCAGTGTGCTGGAATCCTATGTGAGGGACAAACACTCAGAACCAAGCAGGAGTGTTCTAGAATCCTTTGTGAGGCACAAACACTCAGAACCCAGCAGCAGTGTTCTGGAATCCTTTATGAGGGACAAATGTTCAGAACCTCATGGCAGTGTTTTGGAATCCTATGTGAGTGAAAAACACTCAGAACCCAGCAGCAGTGTTCTAGAATCCGTTGTGAGGGAAAAACCTTCAGAACCTTGAAGCAGTGTTCTGGAATCGTATATGACGGACAAACACTCAGAACCCAGCAGCAGCGTTCTGGAATCCTATTGAGGGACAAACACTAAGTTTTCATCCCCTGTGTTCTCGAATACTATGTGAGGGACAAACATTCAGTCACTCAAAGAAGTGTTCTGGAATACTATGTGAGGGACAAACACTCAAAAACCAACAACAGTGCTCTGGATTCATTTGTGGGGGACAAACACTCAGTACCCAACAGAAGTGTCCTCCAATCCTTTGTGAGGGACAAACACTCAGAACCCAGCAGCAGTGTTCAGGAATCCTTTGTGATGGGCAAACATTCAGACCCTCGTAGCCGTGTTCTCGAATCCTATGTGAGGGAAAAACAACAAGAACTCAGCAGCAGTGTTGTGGAATCCTATGTGAGGAAAAAACACTCAGAACACAGCAGCAGTGTCTTGGAATACCGTGTGATCAACAAAGATTCATAACTTCATAGCCATGTTCTGGAATCCTTTATGAGTGAAAAACACTCAGAACCCAGAAGCAGTGTTCTAGAATCCTTTATGAGAGACAAAGTTTCAGACCCTCGAAGCAGTGTTCTGGAATCGTATCTGAGTGACAAGCACTCAGAATCCAGCAGCTGGGTTCTGGAATCCTATGTGAGTGACAAACACTCAGAGCCCAGCAGCAGTGTTTTGGAATCCTATGCAAGGGACAAACACTCAGAACCCAGCCACTGTGTTCCAGAATCCTGTCTGAGTGACAAACATTCGAACACTCGTAGAAGTGTTCTGTAATCCTATGTGAGGGACAAACACTCGGATACCAGCAGCAGTGATCTGGAATCATTCAGGAGTGACAAACACTCAGAACACAGCAGCACTGTTCTGGAATCCTTTCTTAGGGACAAACATTCAGAATTTCGTAGCAGTGTTATGCAATCCTAAGTGAGGGACAAACACTAAGAACCCAGCAGCAGTGTTGTGGAATCATTTGTGACGGACAAATATTCATATCCTCAAAGCATTGTTCTGGAATCCTTTGTTAGGGACAAACATTCAGACACTCATAGCAGTGTTCTGTAATCGTAAGTGAGGGACAAACACTCAGAAACCTGCAGCAGTGTTCTGGAATCATATGTGAGGAAAAACACGCAGAAATCAGTAGCAGTGTTCTGGAATCCTATGTGAGCGACAAACACTAAGTACCCAGCAGCAGTGTTCTGGAATCCTATGTGAGGCACAAACCCTCAGAACCAAGCCACTGTGTTCTGGAATCTTACCTGAGGGACAATATTCAGACACTCGTAGAAGTGTTCTGGTAGCCTATGTGAGGGAGAAACACTCAGAAACCAGCAGCTGTGTTATGGAAACATTTGTGAGGGACAAATAAACAGAACCGAGAAGCAGAGTTCTGGAATCCTTTGTGAGGTAAATATATAAAGACCCTCGTAGCAATGTTCTGGAATGCTGTGTGAGAAACACACACTCAGAGACGACAGCAGTGTTCCGGACTACTATGTGAGGGACAGACCCTCAATTCCCAGCAGTAGTGATGTGAAATCCTATGTGAGCGACAAACATTCAGAACTTCGTAGCAGTGTTCTGGAATCCTATGTGGGGGACAAACACTCAGAACCCAGCCACTGTGTTCTGGAATCCTATCTGAGGGACAAACTTTCAGACACTCGTAGGAGTCTCTGGAATCCTATGTGAGGAACAAACACTCAGAACCCAGCAGCAGTGTTCAGTAATCGTTTGTGAGGGACAAACATTCAGAACCTCAAAGCAGTGTTCTGGAATATTATGTGAGGGCCACTCAGAACCCAGCAGCAGTGTTCAGTAATCGTTTGTGAGGGACAAACATTCAGAACCTCAAAGCAGTGTTCTGGATTATTATGTGAGGGCCAAACACTCTGAACCCAGCAGCAGTGTTCTGGAATCCCATGTGAGGGACAAACACTCAGAACCCAGCAGCAGTGTTCTGGAATACTTTCTGAGGGACCAACATTCAGAATCTTATAGCACTGTTCTGGAATCCTAAGTGAGAGACAAACACTCAGAACCCAGGAGCAGTGTTCTGGAATCCTATTGAGGGACAAACACTCAAAACCCAGAAGCAGTGTTCTAGAATCCTTCATGAGGGACAAACATTCATATCCTCAAAGCAGTGTTCTGGAATCCTATGTGAGGGACAAAAACTCAGAACCCAGCAGCAGTGTTCTGGAAACTTTGGATTAGACCAACATTCAGACCCTCGTACCAGTGTTTTGGAATCCTATGGGATAGACAAACACTCAGAACCCAGACACTGTGTTCTGGAATCCTATGTGAGGGACAAACACTCAGAATTCAGCACCATGCTCTGCAATCCTTTGTGAGGGACAAACACTCAGAATGCAGTAGCAGTTTTCTGGAATCCTTTGTGAGGGGCAAATATTCAGACCCTCTTTGCTGTGTTCTGGAATCCTATGTGAGGGACAAATACTAAGGAACCAGCAGAAGTGTTCTAGAATCCTCATTGAGGGAAAAAAATTCAGAACATCGAAGCAGAGTTCTGAAATCCTATGTGAGGGACAAACACTCAGATCCCAGCATCATTGTTCTGGAATCCTTTGTGATGGACAAACATTCAGAACCTCGTAGCACTTTTCTGGAATCCTATGTGAGTGACAAACATTCAGAACCAAGCATCAGTGTTCTGAAATCGTATGTGAGTGACAAACATTCAGATATAAGTAGCAGTATTCTGGAATCCTATGTGGAGGACAAATAGTCACATTCCAGCCACTGTGTTCTGGAATCCTGAGGACCAAACATTCAGGCACTCGTAGAATTGTTCTGGAATCCTATGTGAGGAGGAAACACTCAGATACCAGAAGCAGTTCTCAGGAATCCTTTGTGATGGACAAACATACAGAACTCAGCAGCAGTGTTTTCGAATCCTATGTTAGTGACAAACACTCAGAAACCTGCAGCAGTGTTCTGTATCCTATGTGAGGAAAAAACACTCAGAACCCAGAAGCAGTGCTCTGTAATCCTTTGTGAGAGACAAACAAACAGAACACAGCAGCAGTGTTCTGGAATCCTATGTGGGGCTCAAAAACTCGGAACCCAGCAGTAGTGTTATGGAATCCTTTGTGAGGGAAAAACATTCAGAATCTCGCAGCAGTGTTCTGGAATGCTATGTGAGGGACAAACATTCTTAAACCAGGAGCAGTGTTCTGCATTCCCATGTGAGAGACAAACACTCAGAAACCAGCAGGTGTGTTCTGGAATCCTATGTGAGTGACAAACACTCAGAACAAAGCAGCAGTGTTCTAGAATCCTTAGTGAGGGGAAACATTCAGACACTCAAAGCAGTGTTCTGCAATCCTACGTGAGGGACAAACACAGAGAATCCAGCAGCAGTGTTCTGGAATCCTTTGTGAGGGACAAACATTCAGAACATCATAGGAGTGTTCTGGAATCATATGTGAGGGACAAATACTGTGAAGCCAACGGCATTGTTCTGGAATCTGATGTGAGGGATAAACACTCAGAACCCAGCAGCAGTGTTCTGGAATCCTATGTGAGTGACAAACACTCAGAACCCAGCAGCAGTGTCCTTCAATCCCATGTGAGGCACAAACACTCAAAACCCAGCCACAGTGTACTGGAATACTATCTGAGGGACAAACATTCACACCCTCGTAGAAGTGTTCGGGAGTCCTATGTGAGGGACAAACTCTAAGAAACCAGCAGCAGTGCTCTGGAATCCTTTGGGAGGGAAAAACACTCAGAACCTCCTATCAGTGTTCTGTGATTCGATGTTAGGGAAAAACATTCAAACCCTCGTAGTAGTGTCCTGGAATCCTACATGAGGGACAAACCCTCAGAACCCAGCAGCAGTGTTCTGGAATCCCACGTGAGGGAAAAACATTCAGACCCTCGTAGCATTGTTCTGGAATCCAAAATGAGGGACAAACACTCAGAACCCAAAAGCTGTATTCTGGAATCTCATGTGAGGGACACAGACTCAGATCCCAGCAGCAGTGTTCTGGAATCCTATTTGAGGGACAACCCCTCGGAACACAGTAACTGTGAACTGGAGTCGAATCTGAGGGACAAACATTCAGACATTCGTAGAAGTGTTCTGGAATCCTATGTGAGGGACAAACACAGGAAACCAGCAGCAGTGCTCTAGAATCCTTTGTGAGGGACAAACATACAGATCCCAGCAGCAGTGTTCCAGAATAATTGTGAGGGAAAAACATTCAAACACTCGTAGCAGTGTTCTGGAATCCTATGTGAGGGACAAACACTCAGAACCCAGCAGCAGTGTTCTGGAATCCTATGTGAGCAACAAACATTCAAAACTTTGTAGCAATGTTCTGATATTCTATGTGAGGGCAAACACTCAGAACACAGCAGCAGTGCTCTGGAATCGTAAGTGAGGGACAAACACTCAGAACCCAGCAGCCGTGTGCTGGAATCCTATGTGAGGGACAAACTCTCAGAATCCATCAGCAGTGTTCTGGTATCCTACGTGAGTGACAAACACTCCGAACACAACAGCAGTGTTCCAGTATCTTTGTGAGGGGCAAACACTCAGAACCCAGCAGCAGTGTTCTAGAGTCCTTTGTGAGGGACAAACATGCAGAACCTCTCAGCAGTGTTCTCAAATCATAAGTTTGGGACAAACAATGTGAACACAGCAGCAGTGTTTTGGAATAACCTGTGAGGCACAAACACTCAGAACCCATCAGCAGTGTTCTGGAATCCTATGTGAGTGACAAACACTCAGAACCCAGCAGCAGTGTTCGACAATCCTTTGTGAGGGACAAACCTTGAGACCCTCGAATCAGTGTTCTGGAATCCTATGTGTGGGACAAACCCTCAGAACCCAGTAGAAATTTTCTAGAATCCTTTGTGTCAGACAAACATTCAGACCGTTGCAGCAGTGTTTTGGTATCCTATGTGAGGGACAAACACTCAGAATGCAGGAGCAGTGTTCTAGAATCCTATGTGAGTGAAAAACACTCAGAACCGCGGAGCAGTGTTCTAGAGTCCTATGTGAGTGAAAAACACTCAGAACCCCGCAGTAGGGTTCTAGAATCCTATGTGAGGGAAAAACACTCAGAACCCCGCAGTAGGGTTCTGGAATCCTATGAGAGGAACAAATACTCGGAATGCAGCAGCAGTGTTCTGGAATCCTATATGAGGGAAAAACACTCAGAACCCAGCCACTCTGTTCTGGAATCCTATGTGAGGTACAAACATTCAGACACGGGAAAAAGTGTTCTGGAAACCTGTATGAGGGACAAACACTCAGAAAACAGCAGCAGTGCTCTCGAATCATTTGTGAGGGACAAACAAACAGTACACAGCAGCAGTAGTCTGGAATCCTATGTGAGGGAAAACCTCTCAGGACCCAGAAGTAGTGTTATGAAATCTCTTGTGAGGGACAAACATTCAGAACCTTGTAGCAGTGTTCTGGAATCCTTTCTGAAGAGAAACATTCAGACCCTCATAGCAGTGTTCTGGAATTCTATGTTAGGGACAAACACTCACCCCCAGCAGCAGTGTTCTGGAATCCTATGTGAGGGACAAACACTCAGAACCCAGCAGCAGTGTTCTAGAATCCTTTTTGAAGGACAAACATTCAGAACCTCGTAGCAGTGTTCTGGAATCTTATGTGAGGGACAAACACTCTGAACCCAACAGCAGTGTTTTCAAATCCCATGTGAGGGACAAACACTCTGAACCCAGTAGCAGTGTTCGGTAATCCTATGTGAGGAACAAACACTCTGAACCCAGCAGCAGTGTTTTCAAATCCCATGTGAGGGACAAACACTCAGAACCCAGCAGCAGTGTTCTGTAATCCTATGTGAGTGAAAATCATTCAGAACGCAGAAGCAGTGTTCTAGAATCCTTTGTGTGGGACAAACTTTCAGACCCTCGATGCAGTGTTTTGGAATCGTATGTGAGGGATAAACACTCAGAACCCAGAAGCTGGGCTCTGGAATCCTATTTGAGGGACAAACAGTCAGAACCTGGCAGCAGTGTTCTGGAATTCTATGTGAGGGACAACCCTCATAACCCAGCCACTGTATTCTGGAATCCTATCTGAGGGACAAACATTCAGACACTTGTAGAAGTGTTCTGGAATACTATGTGAGGGTCAAACACTCAGAACAAAGCAGCAGTGGTCTGGAATCCTCTGTGAGGGACAAACCCTCAGAACACAGCAACAGTGTTCGGGTGTCCTAAGTGAGGGACAAACACTCAGTACCCACGAGGAGTGTTCTGCAATCCAATGTGAGGGACAACCACTCAGAACCCAGCAGCAGTGTTCTGTAATCCTATGTGGAGGACAAACACAGGGAACCCTGCAGCAGTGTTCTGGAATCCTATGTGAGGGACAAGCGTTCAGAACCTCATAGCACTGCACTGGAATTCTATGTGAGGGACAAAAATTCAGACCCTCCTAGCAGTGTTCTGGAATCCTATGTGAGGTACAAATCCTCAGAATGGAGCAGCAGTGTTCTGGAATTCGATGTGAAGGATAAGCCTCAGAACCTAGAGGCGGAGTTCTGGAATACAAAGTGAGGGACAAACACTCAGAACACAGCAACAGTGTTCTGGAATGTTAGGTGAGGAACAAACACTCCGAACATATCAGCTGTGTTCTGGAATTCTATATGAGGGACAAACCCTCAGAACCCAGCAGCATTGTTCTAGAATTCTATATGAGGGACAAACACTCAGAACCCAGCAGCAGTGTTCTGGAATCCTATCTGAGGGACAAACACTCAGAATGCAGCAGCAGTGTTCTGAAATCCTATGTGAGGAAAAACACTGAGAACCCAGTAGAAGTTTTCTGGAATCCTATGGGAGAGCTCAGCTTTCAGACACTCATAGGAGTGACAGAATCCTATGTGAGGGACAACGATTCAGACCCTCATTGCAGTATTCTGGAATCCTATCTGAGGGACAAACATTCAGACCTTCGTAGCAGTTTTGTGGAATCCTATGTGAGGGACAAACACTCAGAATGCAGCAGCAATCTTCTGGAATCCTATGTGAGGGACAAACACTCAGAACACAGCAGCAGTGTTCCGGAATACTTTGTGAGGGACAAACATTCAGACAATCTTAACAGTGTTCTGAAATCCTATGTGAGGGACAAACAGTCAGAACCCAGCAGCAGTGTTTTGGAATCCTATGTGAGGAACAAACCCTCAGAACCGAGCAGCAGTGTTCTGGAATCTAATGTGAGGGACAAACACTTAGAACCCAGTGGCAGTGTTCTGTAATCGTTTGTGAGGGACAAACATTCAGACCTTCATAGCAGTGTTCTCGAATCCTATGTGAGAGACAAACACTAAGAATGCTGCAGCAGTGTTCTGGAATCCCATGTTAGTGACAAACACTCAGAGCCCAGTAGCAGTGTTCTAGAATCCTTTGTGAGAGTCAAATACTGATACCCTCAGAGCAGTGCTCTGGAATCCTATGAGACGGACAAACACTCAGAACCCTGCAGTAGTGTTCTGCATTCCAATGTGAGGGACAAGCATTCAGACCCTCATAGCACTGTTCTAGAATTCTCTGTGAGGGACAAACATTCAGACCCTCGTCGCATTGTTCTGGAATACTATGTGAGGTACAAACCCTCAGAAATCAGCAGCAGTATTCTGTTATTCCTTGTGAGGGACAAACAATCAGATCAAGCAGCATTGTTCTGAAATGCTTTGTGATAGACAAACTTTGAGACCATCGTAGCAGTTTTATGGAATCTTTTGTGAGGCACAAAAACTCATTACCCAGCAGCAGTGTCCTGGAATCCTACGTGAGAGACAAACACTCAGAAACCAGCCACTGTGCAGTGGAATCCTATCTGAGGGACAAATGTTCAGAAATTTGCAGAAGAGTTCTGGAATCCTATGTGCAGGACAAACACTGAAAAACCAGCATCAGTGTTCCGGAATCACTTTTGAGAGACAAACAAACAGAAACCAGCAACAGTGTTCTGGAAGCCTTTGTGAGGGAAAAACATTCTGACCCTCATAGCAGTGTTCTGGAATCCTATGTGCCGGACAATCACTCAGAAGTTAGCAGCACTGTTGTGGTATCCTATGTGAAGGACAAAGATTCAGAACCCAAAATAAGTGTTCTGGAATCCTAAGTGAGGGACAAACTCTAACAACCCAGCAGCAGTTGTCTGTAATTTTTTGTGAGGGACAAATATTCAGACTCTCGAACCAGTGTTCTGGAATCCTATGTGAGGGACAAACCTTCAGAGCCTCGTAGCACTGTTTTGGAATCCTATGTGAGGGACAAACACTCAGAACCCAGCAGCAATTTTTCTGGAATCCTATGTCAGCGACAAACACTCAGAACAAAGCAGCAGTGTTCTGGAATCCTTTGTGAGGAAGAAACATTCAGAACCTCATAGGAGTGTTCTGGAATCATATGTGAGGGACAAATACTGTGAAGCCAATGACATTGTTCTGGAATCTGATGTGAGGGACAAACACTCAGAACCCAGCAGCAGTGTTCTAGAATCCTATGTGAGTGACAAACACTCAAAAACCAGCAGCAGTGTTCTGGAATCATTTGTGAGGGACAAACATTCAGACCCTAGAAGCTGTGTTCTGGAATCCAATGTGAGGGACAAACACTCTTATCACAACAGGAGTGTTCTGCAATTCTTTCTGACAGACAAACATTCACATCCTCGTAACATCTCTCGGGAATCCTATGTGAGTGAGGAACACTCAGAACCCAGCAGCAGTGTTCTGGAATCCTATGTGAGGGACAAACACTCAGAACCCAGCAACAGTGTTCTTGAGTCCTATGTGAGGAACAAACACTCACAATGCAGCCACTGAGTACTGGAGTCCTATCTGAGGGTCAAACATTCACACCCTCATAGAAGTGTTCTGGAATCCTTTGTGAGGGACAAACTCTAAGAAACCAGCAGCAGTGTACCGGAATCCTTTGGGAGGGAAAAACACTCAGAACCTCCTAGCAGTGTTCTTGGATCCTATGTCAGAGAAAAACATTCTGACCCTCGTAGCAGTTTTCTGGAATCATATATGAGGGACAAACACTGAGAACCCAGCAGCAGTGTTCTGGAATCCTATGTGAGGGACAAACATTCAGGAAACAGTAGTAGTGCTCTAGAATCCTTTGTGAGGGACAAACACTCAGAATGCAGCAGCAGTGTTCTAGAATCCTTTGTTAGGTACAAACATTCAGAAACTTGTAGAAGAGTTCTGGAATGCGATGTGAGGGACAAACACTCAGAATCCAGCCACTGTGTACTGGAATCCTATCGACGGCAAACATTCAGAACCTCGTAGAAGTGTTCTGGAATTCTATGTGAGGGACAAACACTAAGAAATCTGCAGCACTGTTCTATAATCCTTTCTGAGGGACAAACAACAGAATCCGGTAGCAGTGTTCTACATTCTCTATGAGGGAAAAACATTCAGAACCTCGTAGCATTATTCTTTAATCCCATATGAGGGACAAACACTCAGAACCCAATAGCAGTGTTCTGGATCCCTTTGTGAGGGATAAACATTCAGACATTCCTAGCAGTGTTCAGGAATCCTATGTGAGTGATATAATTTCAGAACTTCGTAGCACTGTTCTGGAATTCTATTAGAGGGACAAACACTCAGAAGCCAGCAGCAGAGTTCTAGAATCCTATGTGAGGGAGAAACACTCATAAAAAAGCAGCAGTGTTCTGGAATTCTATGTGAGGGACAAACACACAGAACCCAGCAGCAGTGTTGTAGAATCCTTTGTGAGGGACAAACACTCAGAACCCAGCAGTAGTGTTCTGGAATCCTTTGTGAGGGACAAACATTCAGAACATCGTAGCTGTGTTCTGAAATCCCATGTGAGGGACAAACAGTCAGAATCCAGCCAATGAGAATTGCCATCCTATCTGAGGGCAAACACTCAGAACCTTGTAGAAGTGTTCTGGAATCCTATCTGATGGACAACACTAAGAAATCTGCAGCACTGCTCTGGAATCCTTTGTGAGGGACAAACACACAGAACACAGTAGCACTGTTCTACAATCCTTTGTGAGGGAAACACATTCAGACTCTCGTAGCAGTGTTCTGGAATCCTATGTGAGGGGAAAACTTTCAGAACATCGTGGCAGAGTTCTGGAATCCTGTACGAGGGAGAAACACTCAGAACCCATTAGCAGTGTTCTGAAACCCTTTGGGAGGGAGAAACACTCACACTCTCATAACAGTGTTCTGGAATCCTATGTGAGGGAAAAACACTCAGATCCTTGTAGCAGGGTTCTGAATCCCTTTCTGAGGGATAAACATTCAGACCCTTGTAGCAGTCTTCTGGAATCCTATGTGAGGGACAAACAGTCAGAACCCAGCAGCAGTGTTCTGGAATCCTATGTGTAGGACAAATACTCAGAACCCAGCAGCAGTGTTCTGGCAACCTAAGTGAGCGAAAAACTTTCAGAACTTCGTAGCAGTGTTCTGGAATTCTATGTGAGGGGCAAACACTCAGAAGCCAGCAGCAGTGCTGTGGAATCCTATGTGAGGGACAAACACTCAGAATCCAGCCACCGTGCACTGGAATCCTATCTGAGGGCAAATATTCAGAACCTCAGAGAAGTGTTCTGGAATCCTATGAGGGACAAACACTAAGAAATCTGCAACAGTGCTCTGGAATCCTTTGGAGGGACAAGCAAACAGAACCCTGTAGC
Organism: Homo sapiens; assembly: GCF_000001405.40. NCBI lineage: Eukaryota > Metazoa > Chordata > Mammalia > Primates > Hominidae > Homo > Homo sapiens. The sequence goes on from NC_000014.9 coordinate 18,458,464, forward strand.
AGTGTTGATCAGTCCTTTGTGAGGGAAAAACATTCAGACCCTCGTAGCAGGGTTCTGGAATCCTATGTGAGGGAAAAATATTCAGACCCTTGTAGCAGTGTTTTGGAGTTCTATATGAGTGACAGACACTCCGAACCCAGCAGCAGTGTTCTGGAAACATTTGGGAGGGAAAAATATTCACACCCTCGTTAAAGTATTCTGGAATCCTATGTGAGGGAAAAAGATTCAGATCCTGATAGCATTGTTTTGGAATCCAATATGAAGTATGAACACTCAGAACCCAGTAGCAGTGTTCTGGAACCCTTTGTTGGGCATAAACATTCAGACCCTCGTAGCAATGTTCTGGAATCCTATGTGTGGGACAAACACTCAGAACCCAGCAGCAGTGTTCTGGAATCCTATGTGAGGGACAAACTCTCAGAAAAAAGCAGCAGTGTTCTGGAAACCTATGTGGAGACAAGCTCTCAGAAATTTGTAGCAGTGTTCTGGAATTCTATGTGAGGGACAAACACTCAGAACCCAGCAGCAGTGTTGTGGAATCCTAACTGAGAGACAAACACTCAGCACCCAGCATCAGTGTTCTGGAATCCAATGTGAGGGACAAACACTCAGAACCCAGCAGCAGTGTACTGTAATCCTTTGTGAGGGAGAAACATTAAGAAACTCGTAGCAGTGTCCTGAAATTCTATGTGAGGGACAAATATTCAGAATCTAGCCATTGTGTACTGGAATCCTATCCAAGCACAAACATTCAGAACGTCGTAGAAGTGTTCTGGAATCCTATGTGAGGGAATAACACTAAGAAATCTGCAGCAGTGCTCTGAAATCCTTTGTGAGGTACAAACAGAACCCAGTTGCAGTGTTCTACAATCCTTAGTGAGGGAAAATCTTTCAGACCCTCATAGCAGTCTTCTGGAATCCTATGTGAGGGAAAAACATTCAGAACCTTGTAGCACTGTTCTGGAATCCTATATGAGGGAAAAACACTCAGAACACAGCAACAGTGTTCTGGAATTATTTGGGAGGGAAAAATATTCACACCCTCGTAACAGTGTTCTCGAATCCTATATGAGGGGAAAACATTTAGAAACTCGCAGCATTGTTCTGGAATCCAATATGAGGGAAAAACACTCAGAACCCCATAGCAGTGTTCTGTAAACCTTTGTGAGGAATAAACATTCAGAACCTCGTAGCTGTGTTCTGGAATCCTACGTGAGGGAGAAATCCTCAGAACACAGCAGCAGTGTTGTGGAATCCTATGCAAGGGACAAACCCTCAGAATCCAGCAGCAGTGTTTTGGAATCTTATGTAAGCGACAAACTTTCAGAACTTCATAGCCTGTTCTGGAATTCTATGTGAGGGACTGACACTCAGAACCAAGAAGCAGTGTTCTGGAATCCTAAGTCAGGGACAAACACTCAGAACCCAGCAGCAGTGTTCTCGAATCCTATGTGAGGCACAAGTACTCAGAACTCAGCAGTAGTGTTCTAGAATTATTTGTGAGGCACAAACACTCAGAAATCAGCAGCAGTGTTCTAGAATCTTTTTTGTGTGACAAGCATTCATAACCTTGTAGCAGTGTTCTGGAATCCTATGTGAGGGACAAACACTCAGAATCCAGCCACTGTGTACTGGAATCCTATCCGAGGGCAAACATTCAGAACCTCACAGAAGTGTTCTGGAATCCTATGTGAGGGACAAACAGTAAGAAATCTGCAGCACTGCTCTGGAATCTTTTTTGAGGGAAAAACAGTCAGAACCCAGTGGCAGTGTTCTTCAATCCTTTTGTGAGGGAAAAACATTCAGAACCTCATAACAGTCTTCTGGGATCCTATCTGAGGGAAAAGCATTCAGAACCTCGTAGCAGTGATCTGGAATCCTATATGTGGGACAAACACTCAGAACCCAGCAGCAGTCTTCTGCAATCCTTTGGGAGGGGAAAACATTCACACCCTCGAAACGGTGTTCTGGATTCCTATGTAATAGAAAGATATTCAGACCCTCATATTATTGTTCTGGAATCCAATATGAGGGACAAATGCTATGAACCCAGTAGCAGTGTTCTGAAATGCTTTGTGAGGGATAAACATTCAGACCTTTGTAGCACTGTTCGGGAATCTTATGCGGGGGACAAACACTCAGAACCCAGCAGCAGTGTTCTGGAATCCTATGTGAGGGACAAACACTCAGAACACAGCCACAGTCTTCTGGAATCCTATATGAGCAACAAACGTTCAGAACTTCATAGCAGTGTTCTGGATTTCTATGTTATGGACAAACACTCAGTAGCCAGCAGCAGTGTTCTGGATTCCTAAGTGAGGGACAAACATTCAGAAACCAACAGCAGTGTTCCTGAATCATATGTGATGGACAAACACACAGAACCCAGCAGAAGTGTTCTAGAATCTTTTGTGAGGGACAAACACTCAGAACCCGACAGCAGTGTTCTGTAATCCTTTAGGAGGGAAAAACTTTCACACCCTCATAACAGTGTTCTGGAATCCTAGGTGAGGGAAAAACATTCAGACACTCGTACCATTGTTTTGGAAGACAATATGAGGGCAACCACTCAGAACCCAGCAGCAGTTTCCTGGAAACCTTTATGAGGGATAAACATTCAGAACCTCGTAGCAGTGTTTTGCAATCTTATGTGAGGGACAAACACTAGAACCCAGCAGCAGTGTTCTGGAATCCTATGAGAGGGAGAAACACTCAGAACCCAGCAGCAGTGTTCTGGAATCCTATGTGAGTGACAAACTTTCTGAATTTCGTAGCAATGTTCTGGAATTCTATGTGAGGGACAAGCAGTGAGAAATCAGCAGCAGTGTTCTGGAATTCTATGTGAGGGACAAAAATTCAGACCCTCCTAGCAGTGTTCTGGAATCCTATGTGAGATACAAATCCTCAGAACCTAGCAGCAATGTTCTAGAATCTTTTGTGAGGGACAAACACTCAGAACCCAGACTAAGTGTTCTAGAATCCTTTGTGAAGGACAAACATTCAGAACCTCGTAGCAGTGTTCTGGAATTCTATGTGAGGGACAAACACTCAGTATCCAGCCACAGTGTACTGGAATCCTATCTGAGAGCCAACATTCCAAACCTCATCACAGTGTTCTGGAATCCTATGTGAAGGACAAACACTAAGAAGTCTGCAGCAGTGCCCTGGAATTCTTTATGTGGGACCAAAAACATAACTCAGTAGCAGTGTTCTAAAATCCTTTGTGAGGGAAAAACATTCAGATCCTCATAGCAGCGTTCTGGAACCCTATATGAGGGACAAACACTCAGAACAGAGCAGCAGTGTTCTGGAATCCTTTGGGAGGGAAAAACATTCACACCCTCGTAACTGAGTTCTGGAATCCTATGTGAGGGAAAAACTTTCAGACATTCGCAGCATTGTTCTGGAATCCAATATGAAGGACAAACCCTCAGAATCCAGTAGTAGTGTTCTGGAAACATTTGTGAGGGATAAACATTCAGACCCTCGTAGCAGTGTTCTGGAATCCAAAGTGAGGGACAAACACTCAGAACACAGCAGCAGTGTTCTGGAATCCTAAGTGAGAGACAAACACTCAGAACCCAGGAGCAGTGTTCTGGAATCCTAAGTGAGCAGCAAACTTTCAGAAATTTGTAGCAGTGTTCTGAAATTCTATGTGAGGGAGAAACACTCAGAACCCAGCTGCAGTGTTTTGGAATCCTAAGTGATGGACAAACACTCAGAACCCAGCAGCAGTGTTCTGGAATCCTAAGTGAGGGACAAGCGTTCGGAATCCAGCATTATTGTTCTAGAATCCTTTGTGAGACAAACACTCCGAACCCAGTCCCAGTGTTCTAGAATCCTTTATTAGGGACAAGCATTCAGAACCTCGTAGCAGTGTTCTGGAATCCTATCTGAGGGACAAATACTCAGAATCCAGCCACTGTGTACTGGAATAATATATGAGTGCAAACATTCAGAACCTCGTAGCAGTGTTCTGGAATCCTATCTGAGGGACAAATACTCAGAATCCAGCCACTGTGTACTGGAATAATATATGAGTGCAAACATTCAGAACCTCATAGAAGTGTTCTGGAATCGTATGTGAGGGATAAAAACTAAGACATCTGCAGCAGTGCTCTGGATTCCTTTGTGAGGGACAAGCAAACAGAACCCAGTAGCAATGTTCTACAATGCTCTGTGAGAGAAAAACATTCAGAACCTCGTAGCAGTGTTCTGGAATCCTATGTGAGGGAAAACATTCAGACCCTAGAAGCTGTGTTCTGGAATCCTACCTGAGGGACAAACACTCAGAACCCAGCAGCAGTGTTCTGGAATCCTTTAGGAGGGAAAATATTCACACCCTCGTAACAGTGTTCTGGAATCCTATGTGAGGGAAAAACATTCAGACACTCGTAGCATTGTTCTGGAATCCAATATAAGGGCAAACACTCAGAACCCACTAGCAGTGTTCTGGAAACCTTTGTGAGGGATAAACATTCAGACCCTCGTAGCAGTGTTTTGGAATCCTATGTGAGGAACAAACACTCAGAATGCAGAAGCAGTGTTCTGGAATCCTATGAGAGAAACAAACACTCACAACCCAGCAGCAGTGTTCTGGAATCCCATGTGAGCGACAAACTTTCTGAACTTCCTAGCAGTGTTCTGGAATTCTATGTGAGGGACAAACTCTGAGAAGCCAGCAGCAGTGTTCTTGAATCCTAAGTGAGGGACAAACACTCAGAACCCAGCAGCAGTGTTCTGGAATCCTATGAGAGGGACAAACACTCAGAACCCATCAGCAGTGTTCTGGAATCCTTTGTGAGGGACAAATACTCAGAACCCAGCATCATTGTTCTAGAATCCTTTGTGAGAGTCAAACATTCAGAACCTCGTAACAGTGTTCTGGAATCCTAGGTGAGGGACAAACACTCAGAATCCAGCCATTGTGTACTTGAATTCTAGCTGAGGGCAAACATTCAGAACCCCATAGAAGTGTTCTGGAATCCTATGTGTGGGACAAACTCTAAGAAATCTGCAGCAGTGCTCTGGAATCCATTGTGAGGGGCAAACAAACATAACCCAGTAGCAGTGTTCTACAATCCTTTCTGAGGGAAAGACATTCAGACCATCTTAGCAGTGTTCTTGAATCCTTTGTGAGGGAAAAGCATTCAGACCCTCGTTGCAGTGATTTGGAATCCTATATGTGGGACAAACACTCAGAACCCAGCAGCAATCTTCTGGAATCCTTTGGTAGGGAAAAACATTCAAACTATCGAAACAGTGTTCTGGAAACCTATGTGATGGAAAGACATTCGGACCCTCTTGATATTGTTCTGGAATCCAATATGAGGGACAAATGCTAACAGCTCAGTAGCAGTGATCTGAAACACTTTGTGACTGATAAACATTCAGACCCTTGTAGCACTGTTCTGGAATCTTATGTGAGGGACAAACACTCAGAACCCAGCAGCAGTGTTCTGGAATCCTGTGTGAGGGACAAACACTCAGAACCCAGCAGCAGTGTTCTGGAATCCTGTGTGAGGGACAATCACTCAGAACCCAGCAGCAGTGTTCTGGAATCCTATGTGTGTGACAAACTTTCAGAACTTCGTAGCAGTGTTGTGGATTTCTATGTCATGGACAAACACTGAGATGGCAGCAGTGTTCTGGATTCCTAAGTGATGGACAAACACTCAGAAACCAACAGCAGTGTTCTGGAATCCTATGTGATGGACAAACACCGGAACCCAGCAGCAGTGTTCCAGCATCCTTTGTGAGGGACAAACACTCAGAACTCAGCAGAAGTGTTCTAGAATACTTTGTGAGGGACAAACATTCAGAACCTCGTAACACTGTTCTGGAATCCTATGTGAGGGGCAAACACTCAAAATCCAACCACTATGTACTGGAATCCTATCTGAGGCTAAACATTCAGAACCTCTGAGAAGTGTTCTGGAATCCTAAGTGAGGGACACACACTAAGAAATCTGTAGCTGTGTTCTGGGATCTTTTGTGTGGGACAAACTAACAGAACTCAGTAGCAGCATTGTACAATCCTTTGTGAGGGAAAAATATTCAGATCTCTTAGCAGTCTTCTGGAATCCTATGTGAGGGAAAAACATTCAGACCCTCGCTGCAGTGTTCTCAAATCCAACATGAGGGACAAACACTCAGAACCCAGTAGCATTGTTCTGGAAACCTTTGTGAGGGATAAACATTCCGACCCTCGTAGCAGTGTTCTGGAATCCTAAGTGAGGGACAGACACTCAGAACCAAGCAGCAGTGTTCTGAAATCCTATGTATGCGACACAGTTTTAGAATTTCATAGCGGTGTTCTGGAATTCTATGTGAGGGACAAACACTCAGAAGCCAGCTGCAGTGTTCTGGAATCCTATGTGAGGGACAAACATTCAGAACCCAGCAGCAGTGTTCTCGAATCCTATGTGAGGAACTAACCCAGAGAACACAGCAACACTGTTCTAGAATCCTTTGTGAGGGACAAACACTCAGAACCCAGAAGCAGTGTTCTAGAATCCTTTGTGAGGGACAAACAATCAGAATCTCGTAGAAGTGTTCTAGAATCCTATGTGAGGGACAAACACTCAGAATCCAGAGACTGTGTACTGGAATCCTACTTGAGGGCAAACATTCAGAACCTCGGAGAATTGTTCTGGTATCCTATGTGAGGGACAAACCCTAAGAAATCTGGAGCATCGCTCTGTAATCCTTTTTGAGGGACAAACAAACAGAACCCAGGTTCAGTGTCCTACAATCCTTTGTGAGGGAAAAACATTCAGACTCTCGTAGTAGTGTTCTGGAATCCTATGTGAAGGACAAACACTCAGAAAACTGTAGCAGTGTTCTGGAATCCTATGTGAGGGAGAAATACCCAGGACTCGGCAGCATTGTTCGGCAATTCTATGTGAGGAGCAAACACTCCGAAACCAGCAGCAGTGTTCTAAAATCTTTTGTGAGTGACAAGCATTCAGACACTCAGAGCACTATTCTGTAACGCTAAGTGAGGGAGAAACATTCAGACCCTCGTAGCAGTGTTCTGAAATCCTATGTGAGAGACAAACACTAAGAACGCAGCAGCAGTGTTCTGGAATCCTATCTGAGGGACAAACACTGAGAACCCAGCAGCAGTGTTCTGGAATCCTTTGTGCATGACAAACATTCAGAAATTCATAGCAGTGTTCTGGAATCATATGTGAGGGACAAACACTCTGAAACCAGCTGCAGTGTTTTGGAATCCCATGTGAGGGACAGACACTCAGAACCCAGCAGCAGTGTTCTGGAATCCTACATAAATGAAAGACACTCAGAACCCAGAAGCAATGTTCCAGAATCCTTTGTGAGGGACAAACTATGAGACCTTCAAAGCAGTGTTCTGGAATCTTATGTGAGGGAAAAACACTGAGAACCCAGCAGCAGCGTTCCGGAATCCTATGTGTGGGACAAACACTCAGAACCCAGCCGCAGGGTTCTGGAATGTTATGTGATGGACAAACACACATAAGCCAGCCACTGTGTTCTGGAATCCTATGTGAGGGATGAACACTCAGAACCCAGCAGCAGTGTTCTGGATTCCTATATGAGGGACAGACACTCAGAACCTTGCAGCAGTTTTCTGGAATCCTAGGTGAGGTACAATCACTCAGAACCCAGCTGCAGTGTTCTGGAATCCTATGTGTGGAACAAACATTCAGACCCTCGTAGCAGTGTTCTGGAATCTTATGTGATGATCAAACACTCAGAAAACAGTAGTAGTGTTCTGGAATCCTATGTCAGGGACAAACACTCTGAACCCAACAGTAGTGTTCTGGTATCGTTTGTGAGGGACTAACATTCAGACCCTCATAGCACTGTTCTGGAATCCTAGGTGAGAGATAAACACTCAGAACCCATCTGCAGTGTTCTGGAATCCTGAGTGAGGGACAAACACTCAGAACCCAGCAGCAGTGTTCTGAAATCCTTTGTGAGGGACAAACATTCAGAACTTCGCAGCATTGTTCTGGAATCATATGTGAGGGACAAACACTCAAAACCCCCCAGCAGTGCTCTGGAATCCTATGAGAGGGACGAGCATTCAGACCCTCATAGCACTGTTCTGGAACGCTATGTGAAGGACAAACATTCAGAGCCTCATAGCAGTGTTCTGGAGTCCTATGTGAGGTACAAACCCATAGAACTCAGTAGAATTCTGCAAATCTACATGAATTACAAACACTCGGAACACAGCAGCAGTGTTCTCGATTCCTATTTGAAGGACAAACAATCAGAACCCTGCAGCAGTGCTCTGGAATCCCATCTGAGGGACCATCACTAAAAACCCAGCAGTAATGTATTGTACCTTACATGATTGACAAACACACAGAACCCATCAGAAGTGTTCTGGAATCCTACAAGAGTGACAAACACTCAAAACCCAGCAGCAGTGTTCTGGAATCCTTTGTGAAGGACAAACATTCAGACCATTGTAGAACTGTTCTGAAATCCTAGGTGTGGGACAAAAACTCAGAACCCAGCACTGTTGTTCTGGAATCCTATGTGAGGGACAAATACTCAGAGCCCAGCAGCAGTGTTCAGGAATTCTATGTGACGTAAACCCTTAGAACCCAGCACCTGTGTTCTGGAAAACTTTTTGGGGACAAACAGTCAGACACTCATAGCACTGTTCTATAATGCTATGTGAGGGAGAAACTTTCAGACTCTCATAGCAGTATTCTGAAATCCTATGTGAGGGACAAACACTCAGAAAACAGCAGCAGTGTTCTGTTGTCCTATGTGAGGAACAAACACTCAGAACCCAGCAGCAGTGTTCAGGAATTCTATGTGAGGGACAAAGCCTCAGAACCCAACAGCAGTGTTCTGGAATCCTTTGTGAGGGACAAATATTGAGACACTCAGAGCAGTGTTTTGGAATACTATGTGAAGGACAAACACTCAGAACCCTGCAGCAGGGTTCTGGAATCCTATGTGTGGGACAACCATTCAGACCCTCATAACACTGTTCTGTAATGTTCTGTGAGGGACAAACATTCAGACCCTCATAGCAGTGTTCTGGAATCCTGCGTGAGGTACAAACCCTGAGAAGTCAAAAGCAGTGTTCTGGAATTCTATGTGAAGGACAAACCCTCAGAACCTTGCAGCAGTGTTCTGGAATCGTATGTGAGGGACTAACACTCAGAATCCAGCAGCAGTATTCTGGAATGCTATGTGAGGGCAAACACACAAAACCCAGCAGCAGTGTTCTGGTATCCTATATAAGGGACAAACACTCAGAACCCAGCAGAGGTGTCCTGGATTCCTATGTGAGACACAAACATTCAAAAACTAGCAGCAGTGTCCAGGAATCCTAAATGAGGGACAAACATTCAGACCCTCGGAGCAGTGTTCTGGAATCCTATGTGAAGGACAAACACTCAGAACGCAATAGCAGTGTTCTGGAATCCTATGTGAAGGACAAACACTCAGGACCCAGTAGCAGTGATAGGGAGTGCTTTCTGATGGACAAACATTCAGAACCTTGTAGCAATTTTCTGGAATCCTATGTGAGGGACAAACGCTCAGAACACAGCAGCAGTGTTCTGGAATACTTTGTGAGGGACAAACACTCAGAACCCAGCAGCATTTTTCTGCAATCTTTTGTGAGAGACAAACTTTCATACCCTTGGAGCCGTGTTCTCGAATCCTTTTTGAGGGACAAACACTCAGAACCCAACAGCAGTGGTCTGGAATCCTCTATGAGGGACAAACACTCAGAACCCAGCAGCAGAGTTCTGGACTCCTAAGTGAGGGACAAACACTCAGAACCCAGCAGCAGTGTTCGGGAATCCAAAGTGACGGACAAACATTCAGATCCCTTCAGCAGTGTTCTGGGATCCTAAGTGAGGGACAAGCATTCAGACCCTCATAGCACTGTTCTCGAATGCTCTGTGAGGGACAAACATTCAGAACCTCGTAGCAGTGTTCTGGGATCCTATGTGAGGTACAAACCTTCAGAACCCAGCAGCATTGTTCTGGAATTCTACATGACGGACAAACCCTCAGAACCTAGCTGCAGTGTTCTGGAATCCTATGTGAGGGACGAACACTCAGAACCCAGCAGCAGTGTTCTGCATTCCTATGTGAGGGACAAGCACTCAGAAACCTGCAGCAGCGTTTGGGAATCCCATGTGAGGGACAAATACTGAAAACCCAGCAGAAGTGTTCTTGTATCCTACTTGATGGACAAACACACAGAACCCAGCAGAAGTGTTCTGAAATCCTGTATGAGTGACAAACACTCACAACCCAGCAGTAGGGTTCTGGAATCCTATGTGAGGGACAAACATTCAGACCCTTGTTGCAGTGTTCTGGAATCCTATGTAAGGGACAAACACTCACAATACAGCAGCAGTGTTCTGGAATCATAAGTAACGGACTAACACTCAGAACCAAGCAGCAGTGTTCTGGAACGCTATGTGAGGGACAAACACTCAGTATGCAGCAGCAGTGTTCCAGAATCCAATGTAAGGGAGAAACACTCAGAACCAGGCAGCAGGGTTCTGGAATCCTATGTGTGGGACAAGCATTCATACCCTCATAGCACTGTTCTGGAATGCTCTGTGAGGGACAAACATTCAGACCCTCGTAGGAGTGTTCTGGAATCCTATGTGAAGGACAAATACTCAGAAAACACTAGTAGTGTTCTGGAATACTAAGTGAGGGGCAAAGATTCTGAACCTAGCAGCAGTGTCCTGGAATCGTTTGTGAGGACCTAACATTCAGAAACTCATAGCAGTGTTCTGGAATCCTAGGTGAGAGACAAACACTCAGAACCCAGCTGTAGTTTTCTGGAATCCTATGTGAGGGACAAACACTCAGAACCCAGAAGCTGTGTTCTGGAATCCTTTCTGAAGAACAAACATTCAGACCCTCGGAGCCTTTTTCTGGAATCCTATGTGAGGGACAAACTTTCAGATCCCCGCGGCAATGTTCCGGAATCCTTCGGGAGGGACAATCATTCAGACCCTCCGAGCACTGCTCTGTAATGTTATGTGAGGGTCAAACATTCAGACCCTCTTAGCAATGTTCTGGAATCCTAAGTGAGGTACAAAACCTCAGAACCCAGAAGCGGTGTTCTGGAATTCTACGTGAGGGACAAACCCTCAGAACCTAGCAGCAGTCTTCTGGAGTCTTATGTGAGGGACGAACACAGAGAACCCAGCAGCAGTGTTCTGGATTCCTATGTGAGGGACAAACACTCAGAACCCTGCAGCAGTTTTCTGGAATCCAAGGTGAGGGACAATCACTCAGAACCCAGCAGCTATGTTCCGGAAACCTATGTGAGGGACAAACATTCGGACCCTCGTGTCAGTGTTCTGGAATCCTATGCGACGATCAAACACTCAGAAAACGGTACCAGTGTTCCGGAATCCTTTGTGAGGGACAAACACTCTGAACCCAGCAGCAGTGTTCTGGTATCGTTTGTGAGGCAGCAACATTCAGACCCCTGTAACACTGTTCTGGAATCCTAGGTGAGAGACAAACACTCAGAACCCTGCAGCAGTGTTCTGGAATCCTACGTGAGGTGCAAACATTCAGACCCTCATAGCACTGTTCTGGAATGCTATGTGAGGGACAAACATTCAGACCCTAGTAGCAGTGTTCTAGAATCCTATGTGAGGTACAATCCCTCAGAACCCAGCAGCAGTGTTCTGGAATTCTATGTGAAGGACACACACTCGGAACACAGCAGCAGTGTTCTGGATTGTTATGTGAAGGACAAACACTCAGAACCCTGCAGCAGTGCTCTGGAATCCTATGTGAGGGACAAACACTAAAAACCCAGCAGTAGTGTTTTGTATTCTAAATGATGTACAAACACACAGAACCCATCAGAAGTGTTCTGGAATCTTATGTGAGTGAAAACATTTGGAAACCAGCAGCAGTGTTCTGGAATGCTATGCGAGGGACAAACATTCAGACCCTTGTAGCACTGTTCTGAAATCCTAGGTGTGGGACAAAAACTCAGAACCCAGCAGTCGTGTTCTGAAATCCTATGTGAGGGACAAATACCCAGTACCCAGCAGCAATGTTCAGGAATTCCATGTGAGGAACAAACCCTCAGAACCCAGCAGCAATGTTGTGGAATACTTTGTGGGGAACAAACAGTCAGACACTCATAGCACTGTTCTATAATGCTATGTGAGGGAGAAACATTCAGACCCTCGTAGCAGTGTTCCGAAATCCTATGTGAGGGACAAACATTCAGAAAACAGCAGCAGTTTTCTGTAGTCCTATGTGAGGGACAAACACTCAGAACCCAGTAGCAGTGTTCGGGAATTCTATGTGAGGGACAAACCGTCAGAACCCAGCAGCAGTGTTCTGGAATCCTTTTTGAGGGACAAACTTTCAGACACTCAGAGCAGTGTTTTGGAATCCTATGTGAGGGACAAACACTCAGAACCCTGCAGCAGGGTTCTGGAATCCTATGTGTGGGACAAGCATTCAGACCCTCATAGCACTGTTCTGGAATGCTCTGTGAGGGACAAACATTCAGACCCTTGTAGCAGTGTTCTGGAATCCTGTGTGAGGTACAAACCCTCAGAACTCAGAAGCAGTGTTCTGGAATTCTATGTGAAGGAAAAACCCTCAGAACCTTGCAGCAGTGTTCTGGAATCGTATGTGAGTTACTAACATTCAAAACCCAGCAGAAGTGTTCTGGATTGCTATGTGAGGGACAAACACACAAAAGCCAGCAGCACTGTTCTGGTATCCTATATAAGGGACAAACACTCAGAATCCAGTAGAAGTGTTCTGGTATTCTATATAAGGGACAAACACTCTCAGAATCCAGCAGAAGTGTTCTGGATTCCCATGTGAGGGACAAACATTCAAAAATCAGCAGCAGTGTTCTGAAATCTTAAGTGAGGGACAAACGTTCAGACTCTCGGAGCAGTGTTCTATAATCCTATGTGAAGGACAAACACTCAGAACCCAGTAGCAGTGTTCTGGAACCCTATGTGAGGGACAAACACTCAGAACCCAGTAGCAGTGTTCTGGAATACTTTGTGAAGGACAAACACTCAGAACTCAAAAGCAGTGTTCTGGTATCGCTTTGAGGGACAAACATTCAGACACTCGTAGCAGTGCTCTGGGATTATATGTGAGGGACAAACATTCAGAACCCAGCAGCAGTGTTCTGGTATCCTTGGTGAGGAGCAAACTTTCAGAACCTCCGAGCAGTATTCTGGAATCCCGGGTTTGGAACAAGCACTCAGAACCCAGCAGCAGTGTTCGGGAATTCTATGTGAGGGACAAACCGTCAGAACCCAGCAGCAGTGTTCTGGAATCCTTTTTGAGGGACAAACTTTCAGACACTCAGAGCAGTGTTTTGGAATCCTATGTGAGGGACAAACACTCAGAGCCCTGCAGCAGGGTTCTGGAATCCTATGTGTGGGACAAGCATTCAGACCCTCATAACACTGTTCTGGAATGCTCTGTGAGGGACAAACATTCAGACCCTTGTAGCAGTGTTCTGGAATCCTGTGTGAGGTACAAACCCTCAGAACTCAGAAACAGTGTTCTGCAATTCTATGTGAAGGACAAACCCTCAGAACCTTGCAGCAGTGTTCTGGAATCGTACGTGAGGTACTAACATTCAGAACCCAGCAGCAGTGTTCTGGAATGCTATGTGAGGGACAAACAAAACCCAGCAGCAGTGTTCTGGTATTCTATATAAGGGACAAACACTCAGAATCCAGTAGAAGTGTTCTGGTATCCTATATAAGGGACAAACACTCAGAATCCAGCAGAAGTGTTCTGGATTCCTATGTGAGGGAGAAACATTCAAAAATCAGCAGCAGTGTTCTGAAATCTTAAGTGAGGGACAAACATTCAGACCGTCGGAGCAGTGTTCTATAATCCTATGTGAAGGACAAACATTCAGAACCCAGTAGCAGTGTTCTGGAAACCTATGTGAGGGGCAAACATTCAGAACCCAGCAGCAGTGTTCTGGAATGCTATGTGAGGGACAAGCATTCAGACCCTCATAGCAGTGTTCTGGAATCTTATGTGAGGGACAATCATTCAGACCGTCGTGGCACTGTTCTGGAATCCTATGTCATGGAAAAACACTCAGAACCCTGCAGCAGTGTTCTGAAATACGATGTGGTGGACAAACAAAGAACACAGCAGCAGTGTTCGGGAATCCTTTGTGAGGGAAAAACATTCAGAACCTCGTAGCAGTGTTCTGTAATCCTATGTGAGGAACAAACCCTCAGAACCCAGCAGCAGTGTTCTCGAATCCAATTGGTGGGACAGACACTCAGAACCCAACAGGATTGATCTGTAATTCTTTGTGAGGGACAAACATTCAGACACTCGTAGCAGTGTTCTGGAATCCTATGTTAGGGACAATCACTCAGAAACCTGCAGCAATGTTCTGCAATCCTATGGGAGGGACAAACACTCAGAACCCAGCCACTGTGTACTGGAATTCTAACAGAGGGAAAAACATTCAGACCCTCCTAAAGTGTTCTGTAATCCAATGTGAGGAACAAACCCTGAGAACCCAGCAGCAGTGTTCTCAAATCCAATTTGTGGGACAAACACTCAGGACCCATCAGGAGTGGTCTGGAATTCTTTGTGAAGGACAAAGATTCAGACCCTCTTAGCAGTGTTCTTGAATCCTATGTTAGGGAGAATCACTCAGAACCCTGCATCAGTGTTCTGGAATCCTATGGGATTGACAAACCCTCAGAACCCAGCAGCAATGTTCTGGAATCCTATGGGAGGGACAAACACTCAGAAACCGGCAGCAGTGTTCTGGAATCCTTTGTGAGGGACAAATATTCAGACCCTCGTAGCAATGTTATGGAATCCCATGTGCTATATACACCTTCAGACCCCCGTAGCAGTGTTCTCGAATGCTATGTGAGGGACAAATAATCAGAACCCAGCAGCCATGTTCTGTAATACTATGTGAGGGACAAACACTGAGAACCCTGCAGCAGTGTTTGTGAGGGACTTACATTCAGGCCTTCTTATCAGTGTTATGGAATCCTATGTGAGGGACCAACCCTCAGAACCCAGCAGCAGTGTGCTGGTTTCCTTCCTGAGGCACAAACATTCAGAGCCTCGTAACAGTGTTCTCGAATCCTATATGAGGGACAAACACCCCGAACCCAGCAGCAGTGTTTTGGAATCCTTTGTGAGAGAAAAACATTCAGACCCTCAAAGCAGTGTTCTGGAATCCTATGTGACAGAGAAACACCCAAAACCCAGCAGCTGTGTTCTGGTATCCTACATGAGGGGCAAGCATTCAGACCATCATAGCAGTGTTCTGGAATCATATGTGAGAGACAAACATTCAGACCCTCATAGCTGTGTTCTGCAATCCTGTGAGAGGGAAAAACATTCAGAACCCAGCAGCAGTGTTCTGGAATCCTATGTGAAGGACAAACACTCAGAACCCAGCAACAGTATTCTGGAATCCCACGTGAGGGACTAGCATTCAGACCATCGTAGCAATGTTCTGGAATGCTATGTTACGGAGAATCCTTAAGACCGTCGTACCAGTGTTCTGGAATCCTATGAGAGGGACAAACAATCAGAACCCAGTAGCAGTATTCTGGAATCCTTTGTGAGGGACAAACACCAGGAACCCAGCAGCAGTGTTCTGGAATCCTATGTGTGGGACAAACTCTCAGATCCCAGAAGCAGTGTTCCGGATTGCTATGTAAGGGACAAACACTGAGAACACGGCAGCAGTGTTCTGGAATCCTTTGTGAGGGACAAAGATTCAGACCCTCGTAGCAGTGTTCTGGATAAGATGTGAGGCTCAATCAGAACCCAGCAGAATTGTCCTAGAATCCTATGTGAGTGACAGAGACTCAGAACCCAGCAGCAGTGTTCTGGAATCCTTTGTGAGGGACAAACATTCAGAACCTTGGAGAAGTTTTCTGGAATACTATGTGAGGGTAAAACACCAAGAACCCAGGAGCAGTTTCTTGAAAACGTTGTGAGGGAAAAGCTTTCAGACATTTGTACCAGTGTTCTGGAATCCGATGTGAGGGACAAATATTCAGAACCTCGTAGCAGTGTTCTGTAATCCTAAGTGAGGGACAATTACTAAGAACCCAGCAGCAGTGTTCTGGAATCCTTTGTGAGGGACATAGATTCAGACCCTCTTAGCAGTATTCTCTAATCCTATGTGAGTGACAAACATTCAGACACTCGTAGCAGTGTTCTGGAAACCTATGTGTAGGACAAACACTCAGAACCCAGCAGCAGTGTTCTGGAATCCTATTTGATTGGCAAAGACACAGAACCCATCAGCAGTGTTCTGGAAAACCAGCAACAGAGTTCTGGAATCCTATGTGAGGGAGAAATCCTCAGAACCCACCAGTGTGTTTTGAAATCCATTGTGAAGGACACACATTCATACCCTCCTAGAAGTGTTCTGGAATCCTATGTGAGTGACAAACTTTGAGACCCTCGTAGAAGTATTCAGGAATCATATGTGAGTGGCAAACACTAAGAACCGAGCAGAAGTGTTCTGGAATCATATTTGATTGACAAACACACAGAACCCCGCAGCAGTGTTCTGGAATCCTTTGTGAAGGAAAAACCTTCAGAAACTTGTAGCAGTGTTCTGGAATCCTATGTGAGGGAGAAACACTGAGAACCCAACAGCAGTGTTCTGGAATCCTATGAGAGGGTCAAACACTCAGAACCCAGCAGCAGTGTTCTGGTATCCTATGTTATGGACAAACACTCAGAACCCAGCAGCAGTGTTCTGGATTCCTTTTTGAGGGAAAATCATTCAGACCCTCGTAGCCATGTTCTGTAATCCTATGTGAGGGACAAAGTCTCAGAACCCAGCAACGATATTACAGAATCCTTTGTGAGGGACTATATTCAGACCCAGGTAGCAGTGTTCTGGAATTCAATATGAGAAACAAACACTCCGAACCCGGAAGCAGTGTTCTGGAATCTTTTGTGAGGGACAAATATTCAGGCCCTCATAGCAGTGTCCTTTAATCTTAAGTGAGGGGCAAGCACTCAGAACTCTGTTGCAGTGTTCTGGAGTCCTATGTGAGGGACAAGCATTCAGACACTTGTAACAGTGTTCCATAATCCTAAGTGTGGGACACACATTCACACCCTCGTAGCAGTGTCCTGAGTCCTATGTGAGAGACAAACACTGAGAACCCAGCAGCAGTGTTCTGGAATCCTTTGTGAGGGACAAACACTGAGAACTCAGCAGCAGTGTTCTGGAATCCCTTGTGAGGGAGAAACATTCAGACCCCCGTAGCAGTGTTCTGGAATCCTATGTGAAGGACAAACACTCAGATCCCAGCAGCAGTGTTTGGGAATCCTTTGTGAAGGTCAAACGTTCAGACCCTCTCAGGAGGGTTCTGGAATTCTATGTGAGGGACAAACACTCCGAAACCAGCAGCAGTGTTCTAGAGTGTTTCATGAGGGACAAACACTCAGGCCCTCAGAGCAATATTCTTTAAACCTAAGTGAGGGACAAACACTCAAAACCCTGTAACACTGTTCTGGAATCCTTTGTGTGGACAAACACACAGAACCCAGCAGCAGTGTTCTGGAGTCCTTTGTGAGGGAAAAACATTCAGACCCTCCGAGCGGTGTTGTGGATTCCTATGCTTGGAGCAAACACTCAGAACATGGCAGCAGTGCTCTATAATCCTTTGTGAAGGACAAACATTCAGACCCTTCAAGCAGTGTTCTGGAATCCTATGTGAGTGACAAACCCTTAAAACCCAGCAGCAGTGTTCTAGAATATTATGTGAGGGACAAACCCTCAGAACTTGGCAACAGTATTCTGGAATCCTATGTGAGGGTAAAACACTCAGAACCCAACTGCAAGGTTCTTGAATCCTATGTGAGGGATAAACACTCAGAACCCAGCAGCATTGTTCTGGAATCTTTTCTGTGGGACAAACTTTCGTACAGTTGTAGCAGTGTTCTGGAGTCCAATCTGAGGACAAACACTCAGAAAACAGCAGCAGTGTTCTGGAATCCTTTGTGAGGGACAAACATTCAGACCCTCAGAGCAGTGTTGTTGAATCCTATGTTAGGGATAAACACTCAGAACCCAGCAGCATTGTTCTGGAATCTTTTCTGTGGGACAAACTTTCGTACAGTTGTAGCAGTGTTCTGGAGTCCAATCTGAGGACAAACACTCAGAAAACAGCAGCAGTGTTCTGGAATCCTTTGTGAGGGACAAACATTCAGACCCTCAGAGCAGTGTTGTGGAATCCTATGTGAGGGGCAAACACACAGAACGTGGAAGCAGTGTCCTGGTATTCTCTCTGTGGGACAAACACTCAGAACCTAGCCATGGTGTTCCGGAATTCTATATGAGGGACAAACCCTCAAAAACGAGAATCATTGTTGTGGAATCCTTTGTGTGGGACAAACATTCAGACACTCATAGCAGTGTTCTGGAATCCTAGGTGAGGGACAAGCACTCAGAATCCAGCAGCAGTGTTCTAGAATTCTACGTGAGGGACAAACCCACAGAACATATCAGCAGTATTCAGGAATCCTATGTGAGAGGCAAACACTCAGAACCCCGCAGCACTCTTCTGGAATCCTTTGTGAGGGACAAACTTTCATACCCTCTTAACAGTGTACTGGAATCTTATGTGAGGACAAGCACTCAGAACACAGCAACAGTGTACTGGAATCCTATGTGAGGGACAAACAGTGAGCAACGAGTAGCAGTGTTCTGGAATTCTAAGGGAGGGACAAACCCTCAGAACCCAGTAGCAGTGCTGTGGAATCTTACGTGAGGAAAAAACACTCCAAATCCAGCAGCAGTGTTCCGGAATTCTATGTACAGGACAGACACTCTGAAACCAGCAGCAGTGTTCTTTAATATTTTCCAAGTTACAAACATGCAGACCCTCGTTGCAGTGTACTGGAATCCTATGTGAGGGAAAAGCATTCAGACCCTCGTAGCAGTGTTCTGGAATCCTATGTGAGGGACAAACACTCAGAACCCAGAAGCAGTATTCTGGAATAATTTAGCAGGGACAAACATTCAGACCCTCATAGCAGTGTTCTGGAATCCTATGTGAGAAACAAACGTTCAGACCCTTGTAGCAGTGTTCTCGAAACCGGTGTGTGTTTCAAACCCTCAGAACCCAGCAGCAGTGTTCTGGAATCCTAAGTGAGGACAAACACTCAGAACCCAGCAGCATTCTTCTGGAATCCTATGTGAGGGATAAACACTCAGAACCCAGCAACAGTGTTCTAGAATCCTACGTGAGGGACAAACCCTCAGAACCCAACAGCAGTGTTCTGGAATCTTTTGTGAGGGACAAACATTCAGACCATCGTATCAGTGGTCTGGAATCCTATTTGAGGGACAAACCCTAATAACCCAGACGCAATGTTGTGGAATTCTATGTGAGGGACAAAACATCAGAACCTAGCAGTAGTGTTTTGGAATCCTATGTAAGGGAGAAACACTCCGAACCCATCAGCAGTCTTCTGGAATCCTGTTTGTGGGACAAACATTCAGACCATCGTAGCACTGTTCTGGAAGTCTACGTGAGGGACAAACACTCAGAACACAGCAGCAGTGTTCTGGAATCCCATGTGAGGGACAAACACTCAGAACCCAGCAGCAGCGTTCTAGATTCCTATGTGAGGGACAAACCCTCAGAACCCAGCAGCAGTGTTATGGAATCCTTTGTGAAGGCAGACATTCAGACCATCATAGCAGTGGTCTGGAATCCTATGTGAGGGACAAACCCTCAGATCCCAGCAGCAGTGTTATGGAATCCTTTGTGAAGGCAGACATTCAGACCATCATAGCAGTGGTCTGGAATCCTATGTGAGGGACAAACCCTCAGAAACCAGCAGCAGTGTTCTGGAATTCTATGTGTCTCTAACATTCTGAGGGTTTGTCCCTCACATAGGATTCCTTAACACTGCTGCTGGGTTCTGAGTGTTTGTCCCTCACATAGGATTCCAGAACTCTGCTGCTTAGTTCAGAGTGTTTGTCCATCACTTAGGATTCCAGAACAATTCTGCTGGGTTGTGAGTTTTTGTCCAACTCATAAGATTCCAGATCACTGTTGCTGGATTCTGAGTGTTTGGCCCTCACATGGGATTATAGAACACTGCTACCAGGGTCTGCATGTCTCACCCTCACAAAGTATTCCACAACAGTGCTATCAGGATCTGAATGCTTGTTCCCCACATAGGATTCCAGAACACTGCTGCAGTTTTCTGAGTGTTTGTCCCTAACATAGGATTCCAAAACACTATTCTGAGTGCCTGAACGTTTGTCCCTCACATGGGATTCCAGAACTCTGCTGCTGGGTTCTGAGTGTTTGTCCCACACAAAGGATTGCAGAACAATGTTGCTGGGTTCTTAGTGTTTGTCCCTCACAAAGGATTACAGAACACTGTTGCTGGGTTCTGAGTGTTTGACCCTCACATAGGATTCCAGAACATAGCTGCTGGTTCAAAGTGTTTGACCCTCACATACGATTCCAGAACACGGCTACAAGGTTCTAAATGTTTGTCCCTCACGAAGGATTCCAGGACACTGCTGTTGGTTTCTAAGTGTTTTTCCGTCAAACAGTATTCCAGAACACTGCTGCTGGGTTCTGAGTGTGTGTCCCTCTCACTGAGTTCCAGAACTATGCTGCTAGGTTCTGAGGGTTTGCCCTTCACATTGAATTCCAAAACACTCCTGCTGGGTTCTGAGCGTTTGTCCCTCACATAGTATTCCGGAACACTGCTACTAGGGTCTGAGTGTTTCTCCCTCACAAAGGATTCTGGAACACTGTTAAGAGAGTCTGACTGATGGTCCCTGACTAAGTATTCCAGAATACTGCTTCTGGGTGCTGATTGTTTGTCCCTCTCATAGAATTCCAGAACACTGCTAGGAGTGTCTGTATTTTTCTCCAACGCATAGGATTTCAGAACATTGCTATGAGGGTCTGAATGCTAGTCCCTCACATGGGATTCCAGAACACTGCGGCTGGGTTCTGAGTATTTGTTCCTCACAAAGGATTCCAGAACACTGCTGGTAGGTTCTGAGTGTTTGTCCCTCACATAGGATTCCAGAACTCTGCTGTGAGGGTCGGAATGTTTCACTCTCAGATAGGAATCCAGAAGACTGCTGCTGGGTTCTGACCGGTCGTCCCTCACATAGGATCCCAGAACACTGCTTCGAGTGTCTGAGAGTTTGTACCTCACATAGGATTCCAGAACAGGGCTGCTAGGATCTCAGTGTTTGTCTCTCACATGGGATTCCAGAACACTGCTGCTGGGTTCTGAGTGTTTCTCCCTCACATAGGATTGCAGAAAACTGAGACGAGGGTCTCAATTATTTTCCTTCACAAAGGATTCCAGGACACTGCTGCTGGGCTCTGTTTGTCCCTCAAAAAGGATTCCAGAGCACCGCTGCTTGTTTCTGAGTGTTTGTCTCTCACATAGGATTCTAGAACACTTCTAAGAGTGTCTGAATGTTTGTCCCTCAGATAGGATTCCAGAACACAGTGGCTGGGTTCTGAGTGTTTGTCCCTCACACAGGATTGCAGAACACTGCTACGAGTTTCTGAATGTTTGTCCCTCACATAGGATTCTAGAACACTGCTGCTGGGTTCTGAGTGTTTGTTCCTCACATAGAATTCCAGCACACTGCTGCTGGATTCTCAGTGTTTGTCCCTCACATGGGATTCCAGAACATTGCAACGAAGTTCTGTATCTTTGTCGCTCAAACAGGATTCCAAAACATTGCTGCTGGGTTCTGTGTGTTTCTCCCTCACTTGCGATTCCAGAGCACTTCTACGAGATTCTGAATGTTTGTCCCTCACAAGGGATGCTAGAACATTGCTGCTGGTTTCTGAGTGTTTTTCCCTCACATAGGATTCTAGAAGGCTGTTGCTGGCTTCTGAGTGTTTGTCACTCACATAGAATGGCAGAACATTGCTACAAAATTCTGAATGTTTGTCACTCACATAGGATTCTAGAACACTGCTGCTGGGTTCAGAGTGTTTGTCCCTCACATAGGATTGCAGAACACTGCTGCTGGTTTCTGAGTGTTTGTCCCTCACATAGGATTCCAGAAAACTGCTGCTGGTTTCTGAATGTTTGTCCCTGACATAGGATTCCAGAACAATACTGCTGGGTTCTGAGTGTATGTCCCTCACAGAGGATTCCAGAACACTACTGCTGGATTCTGAGGGTTTGTCCCTCACAAAGGATTCCAAAACACTACTGCTGGGTTCTGAGTGTATGTCCCTCACAGAGGATTCCAGTACACTATTGCTGGATTCTGAAGGTTTGTCCGTCACATAGGATTCCAGAACACTGCTACTAGGGTCTGAATGTTTTCCATCACAAAGGATTCCAGACAACTGCTGCTGTGTTCTGAGGGTTTCTACAACAGATTGCATTCCAGAACACTGCTAGGAGGGTCTGAATGTTTGTCCCTCACATAGGATTCCAGAATACTGCACCTGGATTCTGAGTTTTTGTCCTTCACATAATATTCCAGAACACTTCTGGGAGCTTCTGAATGTTTGTGCCTGACATAGGATTTCAGAACACTTCTGTTGGGTTCTGAGTGTTTTTACCTCATATAGGATACCAGAATACTACTGCTCTGTTTTGTGTGTTTGTCTCTTACATAGCATTCCAGAACACTGCTGCAGGGTTCTGAGTGTTATTACCTTACGTATGATTCCAGAACACTGCTGTTAGGTTCTGAGGGTTTGTCCCTCACATAGAATTCCAGAAAGCTGCTGCTGAGTTCTGAGGGTTTGTACCTCACACAGGATTCCAGAACACTGCTACGAGGGTCTGATTGTTTGTCCCTCACAGAGCATTCCACAACAGTGCTATCAGGATCTGAATGCTTGTCCCCCACGTAGGATTCCAGAACACTGCTGCAGTTTTCTGAGTGTTTGTCCCTAACATAGGATTCCAAAACACTATTCTGAGTGCCTGAACGTTTGTCCCTCACATGGGATTCCAGAACTCTGCTGCTGGGTTCTGAGTGTTTGTCCCACACAAAGGATTGCAGAACAATGTTGCTGGGTTCTTAGTGTTTGTCCCTCACAAAGGATTACAGAACACTGTTGCTGGGTTCTGAGTGTTTGTCCCTCACATAGGATTCCAGAACACAGCTGCTGGTTCAAAGTGTTTGACCCTCACATACGATTCCAGAACACGGCTACAAGGTTCTGAATGTTTGTCCCTCACGAAGGATTCCAGAACACTGCTGCTGGGCTCTGTTTATTTATCCCTCACAAAGGATTCCGGAGCACTGCTGATGGTTTCTGAGTATTTGTCACTCACATAGGATTCCAGAACACTTCTACGAGGCTCCGAATATTTTTCCCTCAGATAACATTCCAGAACACAGTGGCTGGGTTCTGAGTGTTTGTCTCTCAAACAGAATTCCAGAACACTGCTTCGAGGGTCTGAATGTTTGTATATCACAAAGCAATCTAAAACACTGCTGCAGGTTTCTGACTGTTTGTCACTCATTAAGGATTCGAAAATACTGCTGCTGGGTTCTTAGTGTTTGGCCCTCACATAGGATTCCAGGATACTGCTTTTGAGTTTTGAGTGTTTGTTCCTTACAAATGATTCCAGAACATTGCTACAGGTTTCTGACTGTTTGTCCTTCACATAGGATTCCAGAAGACTTCTTCAAGTCTCCGAATGTTTGTCCTTCAGATAGGATTCCAGAACACAGGGGCTGGGTTCTGAGTGTTTGTCCGTCCCATAGGGTATCAGAACACTGCTGCTGGGTTCTGAGTTTTTGTCCATCACATAGGATTCCAGAACACTGCTGCTTTGTTCTGAGTGTTTGTCCCTCACCTAGGAATCCAGAACACTGCAGCTCGGTAATGAGGGTTTGTCCCTCACATAGAATTCTAGAACACTGCAGATATTTTCTGAGCGTTTCTCCCTCAGTTGGGATTCCAGAAAACTGATAAGATTTTCTGAATGTTTGTCCCTTACCAAGTATTCCAGAACACTGATGCTGGGTTCTGACTGTTTGGCCCTCACATTGGTTTCCAAAACACTGCTATGCCCAAAACACTGCTATGTCTGAATGTCCCTCACATAGAATTCCAGAACACTGCTAAGGGGGTCTGAATGTTTGTCACTCACAAAGGATTCCAGAACACTGCTGATGGTTTCTTAGTGTTTGTCATTCACATAGGATTCCAGAACACTGCTGATGGTTTCTTAGTGTTTGTCATTCACATAGGATTCCAGAACACTGCCTTGAGGAACTGAATGTTGTCCCTCACAAAGGAGTACAGAACACTGCTGCTGGGTTCTGAGTGTTTGTCCCTAATGTGTGATTCCAGACCACCGCTATGAGGGTCTGAAAGTTTTTCCCTCATAAAGTATTGTAGAACAAGGCTACTGGGTTCTATTTGTTTGACCTTCACAATAGATTCCAGAGCACTGCTGCAGATTTCTTAGTATTTGTCCCTCACGTAGAATTCCAGAACATTTCTACTAGGTTCTGAATGTTTGTCCCTCAGATAGGATTCTAGCACACAGTGGATACCAGAACACTACTGCTGTGTTCTGAGTGTTTTTCCTCACAAAGTATTCTAGAACACTGCTGCTGGGTTCTGAGTGTTTGTCCCTCACATAGGATTCCAGAACACTGTTGCTGGATTCTGAGTGTTTGTCACTCACATAAGATTCCAGAACACTGCTACTGGGTTCTGTGTGTTTGTCCCTCACATAAGATTCCAGAATACTGCTACGAATTTCTGAAAGTTTGTCACTCCCACAGGACTCCAGAACACTGCAGTTGGGTTCTGAGTGTTTTTCCCTCACATAGGATTCCAGAACACTGCTGCTGGTTTTTGAGTGTTTGTCCCTCATATAGGATTCCAGAACATTGTTACGAGGGTCTGAATATTTTTCCCACAGTAAGGATTCCAGAACACTGTTATGAAGATGTAAATGTTTTTCCCTCTCAAGGGATTCCAGAACACTGCTGCTGGTTTCTGAGTGTTTGTCACTCATATATGATTACAGAACACTGCTACGAGGCTCTGAAAATATTTCCCTCACATAGGATTCCAGAACACTGCTAGAAAGGTCTGAATGTTTTTCCCTCATAAAGGATTCCAGAGCACTGCTGTTGGTTTTTTAGAGTTTCTCCCTCACATAGGATTCCAGAACACTGCTACGAGGGTCTGAATGTTAGGCCCACAGATAGGATTCCTGTACACAGTGAGTGGGTTCTGAGTGTTTGTCCCTCAAACAGGATTGAAGAACACGGCTGCTGGGTTGTGAGTGTTTGTTCTTCATATAGGATTCTAGAACACTGCTTGCTGCTGGGTTCTGAGTGTTTGTCCCTCACTTAGGATTCCCAAAATCTGTTACGAGGGTCTGAATGTTTGCCCATCACAAAGGATTGCAGAACATTGCTGATGGGATCGGAGTGTTTGTCCATCACATAGGATTCCAGAACACTGCTTCGAGCGTCTGAAAGTTTGTCCCACAGAAAGGATTCTAGAACACTGCTGCTGGTTTCTGAGTGTTTGTCACTCACATAGGATTCCAGAACTCTGCTACGAAATTCTGAATGTTTGTTGCTCACATTTTATTTCAGAAAACTGCTGCTGGGTTCTGAGGGTTTGACTTCATAGAGGAGTCCAGAACACTGCCGTTGGGTTATCAGTGTTTGTCCCTCACATAGGATTCCAGAACACTGCTACAAGGGTCTAAATATTTTTCCCTCACAAAGATTCCAGAACACAGCTGCTGGGTTCTGTTTGCTTGTGCCTCACAAAGGATTCCAGATCACCGCTGCTAGTTTCTGAGTGTTTATCCCTCACATAGGATTCCAGAACACTTCCACGAGTGTCTGAATATTTGTCACTCGACAAGATTCCAGAAAACAGCTGCTGGTTTCTGAGTGTGTGTTCATCACATAGAATTCCAGAACACTGCTACTGGGTTCTGAGTGTATGTCCCTCAGATAGGATTCCAGAACACTTCTGCTGGATTGTGAGTGTTTGTCCCTCACATAAGATTCCAGAACACTGCTGCTGGGTTCTGAGTGTTTGTGCCTCCATTAGGATTCCGTAACACTGCTACAAGGGCCTGAATGTTTGTCCATAACAAAGGATTCCAGAAGATTTCTGCTGGGTTATGACTGTTTGTACCTCACATAGGATTCCAGAACACTGCTTCGAGGGTTTGAATGTTTGTCCCTCACAAAGGATTCAAGAACATTCCTGCGGGGTTCGGAGTGTTTGTCACTCACGCAGGATTCCAGAACACTGCTGCTGCGTTCTGGGCTTTTATCCCTCACTTAGGATTCAAGAACACTCCTACGAGGTTCTGAACGTTTGTCCCTAAAAAGGATTAGAGAACAGTGCTGCTGGGTTCAGATTTTTGTCCCTCACAAAAGATTCCAGAGCACTGCTGGTGGTTTCTGAGTGTTGTCCCTCACATAGGATTCCAGAACACTTCTACGATTGTCTGAATGTTTGTCCCTCATATAGGATTCCAGAACACAGTGGTTGGGTACTGAGTGTTTGTCCCTCACATGGGATTCCAGAACACTGCTGCTGGGTTCTGAGGGTTTGTCTCTCACATAGGATTCTAGAACACTGCTGCTGGGTTCTGAGTGTTTGTCCCTCAAATGGGATTCCAGAACAGTGCTATGAAGTTCTGAATCTTTGTCTTTCACTCAGGATTCCAAAACACTGCTGCTGGGTTCTGAATGTTTGTCCCTTACATAGGATTCCAGAACACTGCTACGGGGTTCTGAATGTTTTCCCTCAAAAAGGTTACAGAATAAAACTCTGGCTTGTGTTTGTTGCCCTCACAAAGGTCTCCATAGCACCGCTGCTGTTTTCTGAGTGTTTGTCCCTCACATAGGATTCCAGAACACCTCCACGGGTGTCTGAATATTTGTCCCTCAGAAGGATTCCAGAACACAGTGGCTTGGTTCTGAGTGTTTGTCCCTCACTTAGGATTCCAGAACACTGCTCCGACGGTCTGAATGTTTGTCCATCACAAAGGATTCCTGAACACTGCTGCTGGGTTGTGACTGTTCCTCCTTCACATAGGATTCCAGAGCACTGCTTTGAGGGCATGAATGCTTGTCCCACACAAAGAATTCTAGAACACTGCTGCTGGATTCTGAGTGTTTGTCACTCACATAGGATTCCAGAATACTGCTGTTGGGTTCTGAGTGTTTGTCCCTCACATGGGATTCCAGAACGTTACTGCCTGGTTCTGAGTGTTTGTCCCACATCTAAGATTCCAGAACAATGCTGCTGGGTTCTGAGTGTTTGTCCCTCACATAAGATTCCAGAACACTGCTACGAGGTTCTGAATGTTTGTCCCTCAGAAAGGATTCCAGAACGCTGCTGCTGGGTTCTGAGTGCTTATCCTTCACATAGGATTTCAGACCCCTGCTGCAGTGATCTGAGTGTTTGTCCATCACATAGGATTCCAGAACACTACTGCTGAGTTCTGAGTGTTTCTCCCTCACAGAGGATTCTACAACACTGCTGCTGGATTCTGAGTGTTTCTCCCACACCTAGGATTCCAGAACACTGCGAAGAGGTTCCGAATGTTTCTCCATCACAACAGATTACAGAAGATTGCTCCTAGGTTCTGAGAGTTGTCAATCACATAGGATTGCAGAACACTGCTTCGAAGGTCTGAATGTTTGTCCCTCAAAAAGCATTCCAGCACACTGCTGCTGGTTTCTGAGTGTTTGTCCCTCACTTGGGATTCCAGAATACTGCTGCTGGGTTCTGTGAGTTTGTCCCTCAAATAGGATTCCAGAACACTGCTTCGAGGTTCTGAATGTTTGTACCCCACAAAGGATTCTAGAACATTGCTGCTGGGTTCTGAGGGTTTGTTCCTCATTTAGGATTTCAGAACACTGCTGCTGGGTTCAGAGTGTTTGTCTCTCAAGAGTGATTGCAGAACACTGCTGCTCAGTTCAGACGGTTTGTCCCTCACACAGGATTAAAGAACACTGCTATGAGGTTCTGAATGTTTTTCCCTCATAAAGGATTCCAGAATACTGCTGCTGGTTTCTGAGTGTTTATCCCTCACATAGGATTCCAGAACACTTCTACCAGTGTCTGAATGTTTGCCCCTCAGTTAGGATTCAAGAACACAGTGGCGGGGTTCCGAGTGTTTGTCCCTCACATAGGATTCCAGAACCCTGCTGCTTGGTTCTGTGTGTTTGTCCCTCACGGAGGATTCTAGGACACTGCTGCTGGCTTCTGGGTGTTTGTCCCTCACATGGGAAATCAGAACACTGCTACGACAGTCTGAGTGTTTTCTGTCACAAAGGATTCCAGAACACTGCTACGAATTTCTGAATGTTTTTCGCTGACATGTGATTTCAGAACACTGCTGTTTTGTTCTCAGTGTTTGTCCATCACATAAGGTTCCAGAACACTGCTGCTGGGTCCTGTGTGTTTGTCCCTCACATAGAATTCCAGAACACTGCTACGGGGTTCTAAATATTTTTCCCTCACATAGGATTCCAGAAGACTGCTGCTGGGTTCTGTTTGTTTCTCCCACAAAAAGGATTCCAGAACACCTATGTTGGTTTCTGAGCGTCTCTCACGTAGGATTCCAGAACACTTCCACGAGTGTCTGAATGTTTGTCACTCAGATAGGTTTCCAGAACACAGTGGCTGGGTTTGAGTGTTTGTCCCTCACATAGGATTCCATAATGCTGCTGCTGGGTTCTGATTGCTTGTTCCTCACATACGATTCCAGAACACTGCTTCTGAGTTCTGAGTCTTTGTTTCACATATAATTCCAGAACACTGCTGTTGGGTTCTGAGTGTTAGTCCCTCACCAAGGATTCCAGAACACTGCTGCTGGTTTCTGAGTGTTTGTACCTCACTTAGCTTTCAAGAACACTAATACTGAGTTCTGAGTGTTTGTCCCTTACGTAGGATTCCAGAACACTCCTACGAGGGTCTGAATGTATGTCCATCACAAAGGATTCCAGAACACTGCTGTTGGGTTCTGAGTGTTTCTCCCCTACATAGGAATCCAGAACACTGCTACTGGGTTGTGAGTGTTTGTGCCTCACATAAGATTCCAGAACACTGCTACGAGGGTCTGAATGTTTGTCTCTCACAAAGGATTCCATAACACTGCTGCTGGGTTCTGAGAGTTTGTACCTCACATAGGATTCCAGAACAGGGCTGCTAGGATCTCAGTGTTTGTCTCTCACATGGGATTCCATAACACGGCTGCTGGGATCAGAGTGTTTCACCCTCACATAGGATTCCAGAACACTGCTGCTGAGATCACAGTGTTTTTCCCTCACATAGGATTCCAGAACACTGCCACGAGGTTCTGAATGACTGGCCCGCACAGACAATTCCAGAACCCAGTTCCTGGGTTCTGAGTGTTGTCACTCACATAGTATTCCAGAACACTGCTGCTGGGATTACTCTGCTTGTCCCTCACAAGGGATTACAGAGCACTGCTGTTGGTTTCTGGGTGGTTGTCCCTCACATAGAATTCCAGAACAATGCTGCTGGGTTCTGAGGGTTTTTCCTTCATATAGTATTCCAGAACACTGCTACGAGACTGTGAATGTTTATCCCTCAGTAAGAAATCCAGAACACTACTGATGGGTTCGGACTGTTTGTCCCACATATTGGACTCCAGAACAATGCAACGAGTGTCTGCATGTTTTTCCCTCACATAGGATTCCAAAACACTGCTACAAGGGTCTGAATGTTTTTCCCTCACATAGGATTCCATAACACTGCCACAAGGGTCTAAATATTTTTTCCCTCACAAAGGATTCCAGACCACTGCTTCTGTGTTCTGCTTCTTTGTCCCTCACAAAGGATTCCAGAGCTCTGCTGCTTGTTTCTTAGTGTTTGTCCCTCATATATGATTCCGGAACACTTCTACTTGGGACTGCACGTTTGTCCCTCAGATAGGTTTCCAGTACACAGTGGCTGGGTTCTGACGGTTTGTCCCTCAGATAGGATTACAGAACACTGCTGCTGGGTTCTGAGTGTTTGTCCCTCACATGGGATTCCAGAAAACTGCTACGAGAGTCTCAATGTTTGTCAATCACAAAGGATTCCAGAACACTGCTGCTGGGATCCGAGTGTTTGTCCCTCAGGTATGATTCCACAGCATTGCTTCTTGCATCTGAATGTTTGTCCCTTACAGAGGTTTCTGTAACACTGCTGATGGTTTATGAGTGTTTGTCAGTCATATGGGATTTGAGAACACTGCTGCTTGCTTCTGACAGTCTGTCCCTCTCATAGGATTGCAGAACACTGCTACGAGGTTCCGAATGTTTGTCACTCACAAAGGATTGCAGAACTCTGCTGCTCTGTTCTGCGTGTTTGTCCCTCACATAGGATTCCTGAACACTGCTGCTGGTTTCTGAGTGTTTGTCCAACACATAGGATTCCTGAAAACTGCTGCTGCATTCTGAGTGTTTGTCCCTCACATAAGATTCCAGAACAATTCTATGCGTTTCTGAGTGTTTGTTCCTCTCATAGGATTCCAGAACATAGTGGAAGGGTTCTGAGTGTTTGGCCCTCGCATAGGATTCCACAACACTACTGTTGTGTTCTGAGTGTTTCTCCCTCACCGAGGATTCCAGAACACTGCTGCTGGTTTCTGAGTGTTTGTCCCTCCCTTAGGATTCCAGACCACTGCTACTGAGTTCTGAGTGTTTGTCACTTACGTAGGATTCCAGAACACTGCCACGAGGGTCTGAATGTTTGTCCATCACAAAGGATTTCAGAATGCTGCTGCTGGGTTCTGAGTGTTTGTCTCTTACATAAGATTCCAGAACACTGCTACAGGGTTGTGAGAGTTTGTGCCTCACGTAGGATTCCAGAACACTGCTACTAGGGTCTGAATGTTTGTCCCTCACAAAGGATTCTAGAACACTGCTGCTGGATTCGTAGAGTTTGTCCCTCACATAGGATTCCAGAACACTTCTACGAGGGTCTGAACGTTTGTCCCTCACATAGGATTCCAAAACACTGTGGCTGGGTGCTGAGTGTTTGTCCCTCATATAGGATTCCAGAACACTGCTATGAATTTCTCAATGTTTGTCGCTCACATAGGATTTCAGAACTCTGTTGCTGTGTTCTGAGTGTTTGTCCCTCACAAAGGATACCAGAACACTTCTACGAGTCTCTGAATGTTTGTCCCACAGATGGCATTCTAGAGCACAGTGGCTGGGTGCTGAGTGTTTATCCATCTCATAGGATTCCAGAACACTGCTTCAAGGGTCTGAATGTTTCTATCTCACAGAGGAATCTAGAACACTGCTGCATGGTTCTGAATGTTCATCACTCACATGGGATTCCAGAACGCTGCTGCTGGGTTCTGATAGTTTATCTATTCACATGGGATTCCAGAACACTGCTGCTGGGTTCAGAGTGTTTGTCCCTCACAAAGTATTCCAGAACACTGCTGGTGAGTTCTGAGTGTTTGTCCCTCACATAGGATTCCAGAACACTCCCAAGGGGTTCCCAGTGTTTGTCCCTCAGGTAGGATTACGGAACACAGTGACTGGGTTTTGAGTGTTTTTCCCACACTTAGTGTAACAGAACATTGCTGCTGGGTTTTGAGTGTTTCCCCTTCACATAGGATTCCAGAACACTGCTGCTAGGTTCTGAGTGTTTGTCTATCACAAAAGATTCCAAAACAATGCTGCTCGATACTGAGGGTTTGTCCCTCACATAGAATTCTAGAACACTGCAATTTGTTTCTGAGGGTTTCTCCCTCACTTAGGATTCCAGAACACTGCTACCATTGTCTGAATGTTTTCCCCATACAAAGTATTCCAGAACACTATTGCTGGGTTCTGAGTGTTTGGCCCTTACATTGGTTTCCAGAACACTGCTATGAGGGTCAGAATATCCCTCACATAGTATTCCAGAACACTGTTAAGAGTGTATGAGCGTTTGTCCCTCACAAAGGATTCCATATCACTGCTACGGGTGTCTGAATGCCTGTCCTTCACACAGGATTCCAGAACACTGCCACTGGGTTCTGAATTTTTGTCCTTCCATAGCATTCCAGAACACTCCTCTGAGGGTGTGAATGTTTGTCCTTCACATAGGATTCCAGAAAAATGCTTCGAGGGTTTGAATGCTTGTCCCTCACAATGAATTATAGAACACTCCTCCTGGGCTCTGAGTGTTTGTCACTCACATAGGATTCCAGAAAACTGCTGCTGGGTTCTGAGTGGTTTTCCCTCACATAGGATTCCCAAACACTACTGCTGGGTTCTGAGTGTTTGTCCTTCACATAGGATTCCAGAGTTATGCTACGAGGTTCTGAATGTCTGTCCAACCCTAAGGATTTCAGAACATTGCTGCTGGGTTCTGAGTGTTTCCCCCGCATGTAGGTTTCCAGAACACTGCTTCGAGGGTCTGAATGTTTGTCCCTCACAAAGAATTCTAGAACACTGCTGTTGGTTTCTAAGTGTTTGTCCCTCACATGGGGATCCAGAACCCTGCTGCTTCGTTCACAGTGCTTGTCCATCACATAAGATTACAGAACACAGCTACGAGGTTCTCAATGTTTGTCCCTCACAAAGGATTCCAGAACACTGCTTCCAGGTTCTGAGTGATTGTCCCTCACATAGGATTACAGAACTCTCCTGCTGGGTTCTGGTTGTTTGTCCCTCACAAAAGAATCCAGAGCACTCCTGCTGGTTTCTGAGTGTTTGTCCCTTACGTAGGATTCCAGAACACTGCTTCGAGGGTCTGAATGTTTGTCCCTCACAAAGGATTCTAGAACACTGCTGCTGGTTTCTGAGTGTTTGTCACTCACATAGGATTCCAGAACACTGCTGTGGGGTTCTGAGTGTTTCTCCCTCACATGGGATACTAGAACACTGCTGCTGGGTTCTGATTGTTTTTCCCTCACATTGGATTACAGAACACTGCTGCGGCATTCTGAATGTTTATCCCTCAAAAAGGATTCTAGAACACGCTGCAGGGATCTGAGTGTCTGTCCCTCACGAAGGATTCTAGAACACTGCTGCTGGCTTCTGAGTGTTTGTCCCTCACATAAGATTCCAGAACACTGCTGCTGTGTTCTGACTGTTTGTCCCCCACATAGGATTCCAGAACACTGATGCTGGGTTCTGAGTGGTTTTCCCTCAATTAGGATTCCAGAACACTACTGTTGGGTGCTGAATGTTTGTTCTTCACATAGAATTCCAGAACAATGCTACGAAGTTCTGATAGTTTGTCGCTCACATAGGATTCCAGAACACTGCTGCTGGGTTTTGAGTGTTTGTCCCTCACAGAAGATTACAGAATACTGCTACGAGGGTCTGAATGTTTATCACTTACAGAGGGATCCAGAACACTGCAACTGGGTTCTGACTGTTTGTCCCTCATATTAGATTCCAGAACAATGCTACGAGGGTCTGAATGTTTTTCCTTCACATAGGATTCCAGAACACTTTTACGAGGGTGTGAATGTTTTTCCCTCCCAAAGGATTCCAGAAGACTGCTGCTGGGTTCTGAGTGTTTGTCCCTCATATAGGATTCCAGAGCACTGCTACGAGGGTCTGAATTTCTTTCCCTCACATAGGTTTCCAGAACACTGCTATAAGGATGTGAAAGTTTTTCCCTCAAAAGGATAGCAGCACACTGCTCCTGGGTTCTGTTTGTTTGTCCCTCAGAAAGGATTCTAGAACACTGCTGCAGATTTCTTAGTGTTTGTCCGTCACACAGGATTCCAGAAAACTTCTACGAAGTTCGGAATGTTTTTCCTTCAGATAGGTTTCCAGTACACAGTGGAATCCAGTACACAGCCACTGTTTCTGAGTGTTTGTACCTCACATAGGATTCCAGAACACTGCTGCTGGGTTCTGAATCTTTGTCCCACACAAAGGATTCTAGACCACTGTTGCTGTGTTCTGAGTGTTTGTCCCACACATAGGATTCTGAAAAACTGCTACGAGGGTCTGAATGTTTGTCCATCACAAAGGATTCCAGAAAACTGCTGCAGGGATTGTGGTGTTTGTCCCTCACGTAGGATTCCAGAACACTGCTTTGAGGTTCAGAATGTTTGTCACACAAAAAGGATTCTTGAACAGTGCTGCTGGTTTCTGAGTCTTTGTCGCTCAAACAGGATTACAGAACATTGCAGCTGGGTTCTGAGTGTTTGTCCCTCATATGGGATTGCAGAACACTGCTGCTGTGTTCTGAGTGTTTGTCCCTTACGTACGATTCCTGAACATTGCTATGAGGTTCCGAATGTTTGTTCCTCACAAAGGATTCCAGAACACTGCTGCTGGGTTCTGAGTGTTTGTACCTCACGTAGAATTCCAGAACACTGCTACGAAGTTGTGAAAGTTTGTCCCTCACAGAGGATTCCAGAACACTGCTGCTGGGCTCAGAGTGTTTGTCCCTCACATAGGACTCCAAACCACTGCTGCTGGGTTCGGAGCATTTGTCCCTCACATAGGATTCCAGCACACTGCTATGACGGTCTGAATGTTTATCCCTCAATAAAGGTTCCAGAACACTGCTACTGGGTTCTGAGTGTTTGTCCCTCATATTGGATTCCAGAACAATGCTACGAGGGTATGAAGGTTTCTCCCTCACATGGGATTCAAGAACACTATTAGGAGAGTGTGGTTTCCCGAGCGCTGCTGGTGGGTTCTGTGTGTTTGTCCCTCATATAGGATCCCAGAACACTGCTATGAGGGTATGAATGTTTTTCTATCACATAGGATTCCAGAACACTGCTATGAGGGTTTGAATATTTTTTCCTCACAAAGGATTGTAGAACACTGCTGCTGGGTTCTGAGTGTTTGTCCCTCACATAGGATACCAGAACACTGCTGCTGGGTTCTGAATGTTTGTCCCTCACTTAGGAATCCAGAACGCTGCTGCTGGGTTCTCAGTGTTTGTCCCTCACATAGAATTCCAGAACACTGCTACAAACTTCTGAAAGTTTGTCGCTCACGTAGTATTCCAGAATATTGTGCTGGGTTCTAAGTGTTTGTCCCACACATAGGATTCCAGAACACAGCTGCTGGGTTCCGAGTGTTTGTCCCTCAGATAGGATTCCAAAATACTATTACGAGGGTCTGAATGTTTTTCCCTCACGAAAGATTCAAGAACACTGCTTCTGGGTTCTGATTGTTTGTCCCTCACAAAGGATTCCAGAGCACTGCTGCTGGCTTCTGAGGGTTTTTCCCTCACATAGGATTCCAGAACTCTTCTACGAGTGTTTGAATATTTCTCCCTCAGATAGGATTCCAGAGCACAATGACTGGGTTCTAAGTGATTTTCCCTCACATAGGTTTCCAGAACACAGCTGCTGGGTTCTGAGTGTTTGTCCCTCACATAGGATTACACAACACTGCTGCTGGATTCGGAATGGTTGTCCCTCCCATAGGATTCCCGAACACTACTGCTGGGTTCTGAGTGTTTGTTCCTCACATAGGATTCTGGAACACTGCTACGAGGGTCTGAATGTTTGTCCAACAAAAAGGATTGCAGAACATTGCTTCTGGGTTCTGAGGGTTTGTCTCTCACATAGGATTCCAGAAGACTGCGTGGGTCTGCAAGTTTGTCTCTCATAAAGGACTCTAGAACACTGCTGCCGGGTTCTCAGTGTTTGTCACTCAAATAAGATTCCAGAACACTGCTGCTGGGTTCTGAGTGTTTGTCTCTCACATGGTATTCCAGAACATTGCTGCTTGGTTCTGAGTTTTGTCCCTCACGTGTGATTCCAAAAGACTGCCACTGGGTTCAGAGTGTTTGTCCCTCACATACTATTCCAGAACACTGCTACTAGGTTCTGAATGTTTGTCCCTCACAAATTATTTCTGACCACTGCTGATGGGTTCTGAGTGTTTGTCCCCAACATAGGATTCCAGAACTCTGCTGCTGGGTTCTGTTTGTTTGTCCCTCACAAAGGAATCCAGAGCACTGATGCTGGTTTCTGAGTGTTTTTCCCGCACATAGGATGCCAGAACACTGCTACGATGGTCTGAGTGTTTCTCCGTCACAAAGGATTGCAGAATACTGCAGCTGGGTTCTCAGTGTTTGTCCCTCACATAGACCCAAAACACTGCTTGGAGGGTCTGAATGTTAGTCCCACACAAAGGATTCTAGAACACTGCTGCTGGGTTCTGAGTGTTTTTCCTTCACAGGGGAATCAAAAACACTGCAGCTGGGTTCAAAGTGTTCGGCCCTCACATATGATTCCAGAACACAGCTACAAGGTTCTGAATGATTGTCCCTCAAAAAGTATTCCAGAACACTGCTTTTGGGTTCTGAGTGTTTGTCGCTCACGTGGGATTCAAAAACACTGCTGCTGGGTTCAGAGTGTTTGTCGCTTACATAGGATGCCAGAACACGGCTCTTGATTTCTCAGTGTTTGTCCCTCACAAAGGATTCCAGAACACTTCTGCTGGTTTCTGAGTGTTTTTCCCTCACATAGGATTCCAGAACTCTTCCCCGAGGTTCCCAATATTTGACCCTCAGATAGGATTCCAGAACACAGTGGCTGGGTTTTGAGTGATTGTCCCACACTTCGGGAATCAGAACACTGCTGTTGGGTTCTGAGTGTTTCTCCTTCACACAGGATTCCAGAACACTGCTGCTGAGTTCTGAGTGTTTGTCCCTCAGATAGGATTCCAAAACACTGCCGCTCGATACTGAGGGATTGTCCCTCACATAGATTTCTAGAACACTGCAGCTTGTTTTTGAGGGTTTCTCTCTCACTTAGGATTCCAGAACACTGCTAAGTGTGTCTGAATGTTTGTCCCTCACAAAGAACTCCATATCACTGCTACGAGTGTCTGAACGCTTGTCCTTCACACCGGATTCCAGAACACTGCTACTGGGTTCTGAGTGTTTGTCCTTCACATAGGATTCCAGAACACTCCTCTGAGGGTGTGAGTGTTTGTCCCTCACATAGGATTCCAGAACACTGCTTCTGGATTTTGAGTGTTTGTCCCTCACATACGATTCCAGAATACTTCTGCAGGGTTCTGAGTGTTTGTCCCTCACTTAGGATACCAGAACTCTGCTGTTGGGTTCTGAGTGTCTGTCCCTCACATATCATTTCACAGCACGGCTGCTGGGTTCTGAGAGTTTGTCCCTCAAATAGAATTCCAGAACACTGCTGCTGAGTTTTGAGTGTTTGTACCTCACATACGATTCCAGAACACTGCTACGAGTCTCTGAATGATTGTCCATCACAAAGAATTCCAGAGCGCTGCTGCTAGTTTGTTAGTGTTTGTCCATCACATAGGATTCCAGAACACTTCTGCAAGAGTCTGAATGTTGTCACTCAGATAGATTCCAGTACACAGAGGCTGTGTTCTGAGTGTTTGTCCCTCACGTAGGATTCCAGAACACTGCTGCTGGTTTCTGAGTGTTTGTCCCACACATAGGATTCCAGAACACTGTTGCTGGGTTCTGAGTGTGTGTCCCTCACATAGGAATCCAGAAAAATGCTTCGAGAGTTTGAATGTTTGTCCCTCACAATGGATTATAGAACACTGCTCCTGGGTTCTGAGAGTTTGTCACTCACATAGGATTCCAGAACACTGATGCTGTGTTCTGAGTGTTTGCTCCTCACATAGGATTCCAGAACACTGCTTCCAGGGTCTGGATGTTTGTCCCTCACAAAGGATTCTAGAACACTGCTGCTGGGTTGTGAGTGTCTGTCCCTCACTTAAGATTCCAGAACACTGCTGCTGGATTCTGAGTGTTTGTCCCTCACATAGGATTCCAGAACACTGCTCCTGGGTTCTGAGTGCTCGTCCCCCACAAAGGAATCCAGAGCACTGCTGCTGGGTTCTGAGTGTTTGTCCCTTACATAGGATAACAGAACACTGCTAAGATCGTCTAAAGGTTTGTCTGTCTGAAAAGATTCCAGAAAACTGCTGCTGGGTTCTGAGCGTTTGTCCCCCACATAGGATTCCAGAACACTGATTCGAGGGTCTGAATGTTTTTCCCTCACAAAGGATTCTAGAACACTGCTAAAGGGTTAGTAGTGTTTGTCCCTCATATAGGATTGCAGAACACTGCTCCTGGGTTCTTAGTGTAGGATTCCAGAACCCTCCTTCTCGGTTTGTTTGTCCCCCAAAAAGGAATCCAGAACACTGCTGCTGGTTTCCGAGTGTTTGTCCCTCACATGAGATACCAGAACACTGCTATGATCATCTGAATGTTTGTCCCCCACAAAGGATTCTAGAACACCGCTGCTGTGTTCTGAGAGTTTGTCACTCACATAGGATTCCAGAAAAATGCTGCCGAGTTCTGAGTGTTTGTCCCTTTCATGGGATTCGAAAACATTGCTGCTGGGTTCAGAGTGTTGTCCCTCACATAGGATTGCAGAGCACTTCTACGAGGTTTTGAATGTTTGTCCTTCACAAAGGATTCCAAAACATTGCTGCTGGTTTGTGAGTGTTTGTCTCTCACATGGGATTACAGAACACTTCTGCTGGGTTCTGTGTGTTTGTCCCGCATATATTAAACCAGAACACTGCTGGTGGGTTTTGTGTGTTTCTCCCTCACATAGCATTCCTCAACATGCTGCTGGGTTCTGAGTGTCAGTCCCACACATACGATTCCAGAACACTGCTGCTAGGTTCTGAAGATTTCTCCCTCACATAGGATTCCAGTAAAAAGCTGCTTGATTGTGAGTGTTTGTCCCTCACATAGGATTCCATAACAGTTCTGCTGGGTTCCAAGTGTTTGTCTCATATAGGATAACAGAACTCTGCTGCTTGGTTTTGAGTGTTTGTCCCTCACATAGCATTCCAGAACACTGCGGCTGGGTTCTGAGTGTTAGTCCCTCACATATGATTCCAGAACACTACTGCTAGGTTCTGAGGGTTTCTCCCTCACATAGGATTCCAGAACTCTGCTACAAGTTTCTGAATGTTTGTCCCTCACAGAGCATTCCAGAACAGTGCTATGATGGTCTGAATTATTGACCCATATATAGGATTCCAGAACACTGCTGCAGGTTTCTGAGTGTTTCTTCCTCACATAGGATTGCAGAGCATTGATGGTGGGTTCTGAGTGTTTGCACCTCACACAGGATTTCATAACATTGCTGCAGGGTTCTGAGTGTTTGTCAGTCACATAGGATTCCAGAACACTGCTGCTGAATTCTGAGTGTTTGCCCCTCACTTAGGTTTCCAGAACACTGCCACGAGGGCCTGAATGTTTGTCCATCACAAAGGATTCCAGAACAATTCTGCTGGGTTCTAAGTGTTTGTCCCTCACATAGGATTCTAGGACACTGCTTCGAGTGTCTGAATGTTTGTCTTCACAAAGAATTCTAGAACTCTGCTGCTGGGTTCTCAGTGTTTGTCCCTCACATAGGATTCCAGGACACTTCTACACATGTCTGAATGTTTGTCCCTCAGATAGGATTCCAGCACACAGTGACTGAGTTGTGAGTGTTTCTCCCTCACATAGGATTCCAGCACACAGTGACTGGGTTCTGAATGTTTCTCCCTCACATAGGATTCCAGAATACTGCTGCTGCCTTCTGAGTGTTTGACCCTCACATAGGATTCCAGAACCCTGCTGCTGGGTTCTGAGTGTTTGTCCCTCACATAGGATTCTAGAGCACTGCTACTGGGTTCTGAGAGTTTGTCCCTCACATAGGATAGTGGAACAGTGCTACAATGGTCTGAATGTTTGTCCTTGAGATAGGATTCCAGCACACAGTGACTGGGTTCTGAATGTTTCTCCCTCACATAGGATTCCAGCACACAGTGACTGGGTTCTGAGTGTTTCTCCCTCACATAGGATTCCAGAACACTGCTGCTGCCTTCTGAGTGTTTGACCCTCACATAGGATTCCAGAACCCTGCTGCTGGGTTCTGAGTGTTTGTCCCTCACATAGGATTCTAGAGCACTGCTACTGGGTTCTGAGAGTTTGTCCCTCACATAGGATAGTGGAACAGTGCTACAATGGTCTGAATGTTTCTCCAAAACAAAGGAATCAAAAACACTGCTGCTGGGTTCTGAGTGTTTGTTCATCACATAGGATTCCAGAACACTGATTCTAGGGTCTGAAGGTTTTTTGCCCACAAAGGATTCTAGAACACTGCTGCTGGGTTCTGAGTGTTTTTCACTCACATAGGATTCCAGAACACTGCTGCTGAGTTCTGAGTGTTTCTGCCTCACATGGGATTCCAAAACAATGCTGCTGGGTTCAGTGTGTTTGTCCCTCACCTAAGATTCCAGAACACTGAAGAGAGTTTCTGAATGTTTGTCCCTCACAAAGGACTCTAGAACACTGCTGCTGGGTTCTAGTGTTTGTCCCTCACAAAGATTCCAGAACACTGCTGCTGGGTTCTGAGTATTTGTCACGCACATAGGATTGCAGAACACTGCTGCTGAGCTCTGAGATTTTGTCCCTCACGTAGGTTTCCAGAACACGGCTGCTGGGTTCTGAGTTGTTGTCCCTCACATACGATTCCAGAGCAGTGCTGCTGGGTTGTGAGTGTTTGCTCTCACATAGAATATCAGAACACTGCTACGAAGTTCTCAATGTTCGTCGCTCACATAGGATTGCAGAACACTGCTGCTGGGTTGTGAGGGTTTGTCTCTCACATACGATTCCAGACCACTGCTATGAGGGTCTGAATGTTTTTACCTCACATAGGATTCCAGAACACTGTTACTAGGACCTGAATGTTTTTCCCTCACAATTATTCCAGAACACTGCTGATGGGTTCTGTTTTTTTGTCCCTCACAAAGGATTCCAAAGCCCTGCTGCTGTTTTCTTAGTGTTTGTCCCTCACATAGTATTCCAGAACACTTCTACGAGTGTCTGAATATGTGTCCCTAATATAAGATTCCAGTACACAGTGTCTGGGTTCCCAGGGGTTATTCCTCAGACAGGATTCCAGAACACTGCTGCTGGGTTCTGAGTCTTTTTCCCTCACATGGCATTCCAGAATACAGCTGCTGGGTTCTGAGTGTTTGTCCCTCATATTGGATTCCAGAACAATGCTATTGAGGGACTGAATGTTTCTCCCTCACATAGGATTCCAGAACACAGCTACGAAGGTCTGAATGTTTTTCCATCACGCAGGATTCCAGAACACTGCTTTGAGGGTCTGAGTGTTTTTACCTCACAAAAGATTCAGAACACTGCTGGTGGGTTCTGAGTGTTTGTCACTCATATAGGATTCCAGAACACTGCTATGCGGGTCTGAACGTTTTTCCCTCACATAGGATCCCAGAACACTGCTAGGGGGGTCTGAGTGTTTTTCTCTCCCAAAGGATTCCAGAGCACTGCTGCTGGTTATTTAGAGTTTGTCCTTCACATAGGATTCCAGAACACTTCTACTAGGGTCTGAAGGTTTGACACTCAAATAGGATTCTGGTACACAGTGGCTGCGTTGTGAGTGTTTGTCCCTCACATAGGTTTCAAGAACAGTGCTGCTGGATTCCAAGTATTTGCCCCTCACATAGGATCCCAGAACATTTCTGCTGGGTTCTGAGTGTTTGTCTCTCACCTAGGATTCCTGAAAACTGCTACGAGGGTCTGAATATTTGTCCGTCACAAAGAATTGCAGAACATTGCTACTGGGATAGGAGTGTTTGTCCCTCACATAGGATTCCAGAACACAGCTTCTAGGTTCTGAATGTTAGCCCCTAACAAAGGATTCCAGTACTACGCTGCTGGTTTCTGGGTGTTTCTCACACACATAGGATTCCAGAACACTGCTGCTGGATTCTCAGTGTTTGTCTCTCACATGGGATTCCAGAACACTGCTGCTGGTTTCAGAGTGTTTGTCCCTCACATACGATTCCATAACACTGATATGAGGTTCTGAATGTTTCTCCCTCACTAAGGATTCCAGAACACTGCTGCAGGTTCTGAGTTTTTCTCCCTCATATAGGATTCCAGAACACTGCTGCTGGGTTCAGAGTGTTTTTCCATCACATAAGATTCCAGAACACTGCTACTAGGTTCTGAGTGTTTGGCCCTCACAAGGGATTCCAGAACACTGCTGCTGGGTCATGAGAGTTTGTCCCTCACATAGGACTCCAGAACTCTGCTCCTGTGTACTGTTTGTTTGTCCCTCACAAAGGATTACAGAGCACCGCTGCTGGTTTCTGATTGCTTATCACTCACATAAGATTCCAGAACACTTCTATGAGTGTTTGAATGTTTGTCCCTCAGACAGGATTCCAGCACACAGTGGCTGGGTTCTGAGTGTTGTTCCCTCACATAGGATTTCAGAACACTGTTTCGAGGGTCTGAAGATTTGTCCCTCACAAAGGAATCTAGAACAGTGCTGCTGGGTTCTGAGTGTTTGTCACTCACATAGAATTCCAGAACACTGCTGCTGGGTTCTGAGTGTTTGTGCCTCACAAGGGATTCCAAAACACTTCTGCTGGGTTCAGAGTGTTTGTCCTTCACTTACGCTTCCAGAACACTGCTGAGAGTTTCTGAATGTTTGTCCCATACAAAGGACTCTAGAACACTGCCCCTGGGTTCTAAGAGTTTGTCTCTCACATAGGATTCCAGAACACGGCTGCTGGGTTCTGAGAGTTTGTCCCTCACATACGATTCCAGAACACTGCTGCTGGGTTCTGAGTGTTTGTCCCTTACATAGGATTCCAGAAAACTGCAGGGGGATCTGAATGTTTGTCCATCAAAAAGGATTCAGGAACAATGCTGCTGGATCTGAGTGTTTGTCCCTCACATAGGATACCAGAACACTGCCACAACTGTCTGAATGTTTGTCTGACACAAAGGATTCCAGAACACTGCTGCCGCGTTCTGAGTGTTTGTCTCTCAAAAACGATTCCACAACACTGCTATGAGCTTCTGAATGCTTTTCCCTCACAGAGGATTCCAGAACACTTCTGCTGGGTTCGGAGTGCTTGTCCCTCAGAAGGGATTCCAGAACACTGCTGCTGGATTCTGAGTGTTTGTCCCTCACATAGGATTCCAGAACACTGCTGCTGGATTCTGAGTGTTTGTCCTTCACATAGGATTCCAGAACACTGCTGCTGGATTCTGAGTGTTTGTCCCTCACATAGGATTCCAGAACACTGCTTCTGGGTTCAGACTGTTTGTCACTCACATAGGATTCTAGAACACTGCTGCTGGTTTCTGAGGGTTTGTCCCTCACACAGGATTCCAAAACACTACTGCTGGGTCTCAGTCTCTGTCCCTCATATTGGATTACAGAAAAATGCTATGAGAGTCTGAATGTTTTTCCCTCACATAGGATTCCAGAACACTGTTACGAGGCTGTAAATGTTTTTCCCTCCCAAAGGATTCCAGAACACTGCTGTTGGGTTCTGAGTGTTTGTCCCTCACATAGGATTCCAGCACACTGCTTCGAGGGGCTGAATATTTATCCCTCACAAAGGGTTCCGAAACACTGTTATTGCGTTCTGACTGTTTGTCCCTCATATTGGATTCCAGAACAATGCTAAGAGGGTTTGAATGTTTTTCCCTCACATAGGATTCCAGAACACTTCTGCTGGGTTCAGAGTTCTTGTCCCTCAGAAAGGATTCCAGAACACTGCTGCTGGATTCTGAGTGTTTGCCCCTCACATAGGATTCCAGCACACTGCTTCGAGGGTCTGAACGTTTATCCCTCACAAAGGGTTCCAAAACTCTGTTATTGCGTTCTGACTGTTTGTCCCTCATATTGGATTCCAGAATAATGCTATGAGGGTTTGAATGTTTTTCTCTCACATAGGATTCCAGAACACTGTTATGAGGGTGTCAATATTTTTCCCTCCCAAAGAATTCCAGAACACTGCTGCTGGGTTCTGAGTGTTTGTCCCTCATATAGGATTCCAGGACTCTGCTACGAGGGTCTAAATGTTTTTCCCTCACATAGGATTCCAGAACACTGCTACGAAGGTCTGAATATTTTTCCCTCACAAGGGACTTTAGAACACTGCTACTGGGTTCTGTTTATTTGTCCCTCACAAAGGATTCCAGACTACTGCTGCAGGTTTCTTAGTGTTTCTCCCTCACATAGGATTCCAGAACACTTCTACGAAGTTCTGAATGTTTGTCCTCAGATAGGATTCCAGTACACAGTGGCTGGATTCTGAGTGTTTCTCCCTCACATAGGATTCCAGAACACTGCTACAAGGTTATGAATGTTTGTCCCTCACAAAGGATTCTACAACACTGCTACTGGGTTCTGAGTGTTTGTCCCTCCCATAGGATTCCAGGACACTGCTGCTGAGTTCTAAGCGTTTGTCTCTTACCTAGGATTCCAGAACATTGCTGCTGGGTTCTGAGTGTTTGTCCCTCACATAGAATTCCAGAACAATGCCACGAAGATCTAAAAGGTTTTCGCTCACATAGGAATCCAGAAGACTTCTGCTGGTTTCTGAGTGTTTGTCTCTCTCATGGGATTCCAGAACACTACTGCTGGGTTCTGAGTGTTTGCCCTCACATAGGATTCCAGAACACTGCTACAAGGGTCTGAATGTTTGCCCTCAGATATGATTCCAGTACACAGTGGCTGAATTCTGAGTGTTTCTCATTCACGTAGAATTCCAGAACAGTGCAACAAGGTTCTCAATGTTTGTCCCTCACAAAGGATTCTAGAACACTGCTGCTGGGTTCTGAGTGTTTGTCCCTCACAAAGGATTCTAGAACACTGCTTCTGGGTTCT
This sequence comes from Homo sapiens, assembly GCF_000001405.40. Lineage (NCBI taxonomy): Eukaryota > Metazoa > Chordata > Mammalia > Primates > Hominidae > Homo > Homo sapiens. The sequence continues at coordinate 18,503,134 of NC_000014.9, forward strand.
GAGTGTTTGTCCCTCAGATAGGATTCCAGAACACTGCTGCTGTGTTCTGAGTGTTTGTCCCTCACTTAGGATTCCAGGACAGTGCTGCTGCGTTCTGAGTGTTTCTTCCTCACATAGAATTCCAGAACACTGCTACGAAGTTCTGAAAGTTTGTCACTCACATAGCTTTCCAAAACACTGCTCCTGGGTTCTGAGTGTTTGTCTCTCACATACGATTTCAGAACGCTGTTACGAGGCTCTGAATGTTTATCCCTCACAAAGGGTTCCAGAACACTGCTACTGGGCTCTGATTGTTTGTCCCTCATATTGGATTCCAGAACAATGCTACGAGATTCTAAATGTATTTCCCTCACATAGGATTCCAGAACACTGTTAGGAAGATGTGAAAGGTTTTCCCTTCCAAAGTATTCCAGAACACTGATGCTGGGTTCTGAGTGTTTGTCCCTCATATAGGATTTCAGAACACTGCTATGATGGTCTGAATGTTTTTCCCTCACATAGGATTCCAGAACACTTCTACGAGGTTCTAAATATTTGCCCTCAGATAGAATTCCAGTATGCAGTTACTGGATTCTGAGTGTTTTTCACTCACATATGATTCCTGAACACTGTTGCTGTTTTCTGAGTGTCCGTCCCTCTCTTAGGATTCCAGAACACTGCTGCCGGGTCAGGAGTGTTTGTCCCTCACATAAGATTCAAGAACACAGCTGCTGGGTTCTGTGTGTTTGTCCCTCACATATGTTTCCAGAACACGGCTACTAGGGTCTGAATGTTTATCCCTCACAAAGGTTTCCAGAACACTGCTACTGGGATCTGAGAGTTTCTGCCTCATGTTGGATTCCAGAAAAATGCTACGACGGTCTGAATGTTTTTTGCTCACACAGGATTCCAGAACACTGTTACGAGGGTGTGAATGTTTTTCACTCCCAAAGGATTCCAGAACACTGCTGCTGGCTTCTGAGAGTTTGTGCCTCATATAAGATTCCAGAAAACTGTTACAAGGATCGGAATGTTTTTCACTCAGAAAGGATTGTAGAACACTGCTTCTGGGTTCTGTTTGTTTCTTCCTCACAAAAAAACTACAGAACACTGCTGCAGATTTCTTAGTGTTTGTCCCTCACATAGGATTGCAGAACACTTCTAGAGGTTCTCAATGTTTCCCCTCAGGCAGGAGTCCTGTACACAGTGTCTGGATTCTGAGTGCTTCTCCCTCACTTAGGATTCCAGAACACTGCTGCTGGGTTCTGAGTGTTTGTCCCTCACATAGGATTCTAGAACACTGCTACGAGGGTCTGAATGTTTTTTCCTCACAAAGGGTTCCAGAACATTGCTGCTGGGTTCTGAGTGTTAGTCCCTCATATGGGATTCCAGAGCAATGCTACGAGGGTCTGAATGTTTTTCCCTCACACAGAATTCCAGAATACTGTTATGACGGTGTGAATGTTATTCCCTCCCAAAGGATTCTAGAACACTGCTGCTGGGTACTGAGTGTTTGTCCCTCAGATAGGATTCCAGAACACTGCTACGAGGGTCTGAATGTTTTTTCCTCACCAAGGATTGTAGAACACTGCTACTGGGTTCTGTGTGTTTGTCCCTCAGATAGGATTCCAGAACACTGCTACGAGGGTCTGAATGTTTTTTCCTCACCAAGGATTGTAGAACACTGCTACTGGGTTCTGTGGGTTTGTCCCTCAGAGGATTCCAGAGCACTGTTGGAGATTTCTAAGTGTTTGTCCCTCACATATGATTCCAGAACACTTCTACAAGGTTCTGAATGTTTGCCCTCAGATAGAATTCCAGTACACAGTGGCTGTATTCTGACTGTTTGTCCCATAAATAGGATTCTAGAACACTGCTACAAGATTCTGAATGTTTGTCCCTCACAAAGATTCTAGAACACTGCTGCTGGGTTCTGAGTGTTTGTCCATCACATGGGATTCCAGAACTCTGCTGCTGGGTTCTGAGCGTTTGTCCCTCACTTACGATTCCAGAACACTACTACGAAGTTCTGAAAGTTTGTTGCTCACATAGGATTCTGGAACACTGCTACTGCGTTCTGAGTGTTTGTCCCTCACATAGCATTCCAGAACAGTGCTGCTGGGTTCTGAGTGTTTGTCCCTCACGTAGGATTCCAGAACACTACTACGAGGGTCAGAATGTTTATCCATCACAAAGGGTTCCAGAACACTGCTACTGGGTTCTGAGTGTTTATTCCTTATACTGGATTTCAGAACAACGCTACGATAGTCTGAATATTTTTCTCTCACGTAGGATTCCAAAACACTGTTACGATGGTGTGAATGTTTTTCCCTCCCAAAGGATTTCAGAATACTGCTGCTGGGTTCTGAGTGTTTGTCCCTCATATAGGATTCTAGGACACTGCTACGAGGGTCTGAATGTTTTTCCCTCACATAGGATTCCAGAACACTGCTACTAGGGTCTGAATGTTTTTCCCTCACAAAAGACTGTAGAGCACTGCTACTGGGTTCTGTTTGTTTTTCCCTAACAAAGGATTCCAGAGCACTGCAGCAGATTTCTTAGTGTTTGGCCCTCACATAGCATTGCAGAACAATTCTACGAGCTTCTGAATGTTTGATCTCACACAGGATTCCAGTACACAGTGGCTGGATTTTGAGTGTTTGTCCCTCACATAGGATTACAGAACACTGCTATGAGGTTCTGAGTGTTTGTCCCTCACAAAAGATTCTAGAACGCTGTTGCAGGCTTCTGAGTGTTTGTCACTCACGTAGGATTCCAAAACACTGCTACGAGGTTCTGAATATTTTTCCCTCACAAAGGATTCCAGAACACTGCAGCTGGGTTCTGAGTGTTTGTCCCTGACATGGAATTCGTGAACACTGCTACGAATTTCTGAATCTTGGTCGCTCACACAGGATTCCAAAACAGTGCTGCAGGGTCCTGAGTGTTCGTCCCTCACATAGGATCCCAGAACACTGTTACGAGGGTCTTAATGTTTTTCTCTCAGAAAGCATTCCGGAACACTGCCGCTAGGTTCTGTTTGTTTATCCCTCACAAAGGACTCCAGAGCACTGGTGCTAGTTTCTCAGTGTTTGTCCCTCACGAAGGATTGCAGAACAATTCTCCGAGTGTCTGAATGTTTGTCCCGCATATAGGATTCCAGAATACAGAGGCTGGGTTTTGAGTCTTTGTCCCTCATATACGATTCCAGAGCATTGCTGCGAAGTTCTTAATGTTTGTCGCTCACATAGGATTCCAGAACACTGCTGTAGTGTTCTATGTGTTTGTCCCTCACATAGGATTCGAGAACACTTCTGTAGGATTCTGAGTGTTTGTCCCTCTCATAGGATTAAAGAACATTGCCACCAGGTTCTGAATGTTTTTCCCTCATGAAGGATTCCACAGCACTGCTGCTGTGTTCTGAGTGTTTGTCCCTTACATAGGTTTCCAGAACACTGCTGTTGGGTTCTGAGAGTTTGTCCCTCACATAGGATTCCAGAACACAGCTACGAGGGTCCGAATGTTTTTCCCTCAAAAATGATTCCTAAACACTGCTACTGGTTTTGTTTGTTTTTCCTCACAAAGGATTCCAGAGCACAGCTGCTGGGTTCTACATGTTTTTCCCTCACATAGGATTCCAGAACACTTCTATGAGTGTCTGAATGTTTGTCTCTAAGATAGGATTCCAGATCACAGTGGTTGGGTTCTGACTGTTTGTCCCTCACCTAGGATTCTAGGACACTGCTGCTGAGTTCTGAGTGTTTGTCCCTCACAAAGGATTACAGAACACTGCTGCTGAGTTCTGAGTCTTTGTCCCTCACATAGGATTGCAGAACACTGCTACGAAGTTCTGAATCTTTGTCACTTGCACAGGATTCCAAATCACTGCTGCAGGGTTCTGAGTGTTTTCACCACACATAGGATTCCAGAACACTGCTGCTGGGTTCCTAGTGTTTGTTCCTCACATAGGATTCCAGAACACTGCTTCGGGTGTCTGAATGTTTGTCCCTCACAAAGTATTCTAGAACACTGCTGCTGGGTTCTGAGTGTTTGTCACTCACATAAGACTCCAGAACACGGCTGCTGGGTGCTGAGTGTTTGTTCCTCACAAGGAATTCCAGAACACTGTTGCAGGGTTAAGAGAGTTTTTCCCACACATAGGTTTCCAGAACTCTGCTAAGAGCTTCTGAATGTTTGTCCTTCACAAAGGATTCCAGAACACTGCTGCTGGGTTCTGAGGGTTTGTCCCTCACATAGGATTCCAAAACACTGCTAGTGGGATCTGTTTGTTAGTTCCTCACAAAGGATTACAAAGCACTGCTGCTGGATTCTGAGTGTGTGTCCCTCACATAGGATTCCAGAACACGACTGCTGTGTTCTGGGTGTTTGTTCCTCACATAGGATACCAGAACACTGCTACTGGGTTCACAGTGTTTGTCCCTCACATAGGATTCCAAAACACTGTTACAAGATTCTGAATGTTTGTCCCTCACAATCGATTCCACAACACTACTCCTGGGTTCTGAGAGTTTGTACCTCACATAGGATTCAAGAACACTGCTACAGGGTTCTGTGTGTTTGCCCTGCACAAAGGATTACAGAGCACTGCTGCTGGTTTCTGAGTGTTGGTCCTTCACATAGGATTCCAGAACACTGCTTCGAGTGTCTGAAGGTTTGTCCCTCACAAAAGATTCTAGAACACTGCTGCTGGGTTCTGAGTGTTTGCCCCTCACATGGGATTCCGGAACACTGCTTTGAGTGTCTGAATGTTTTTCCCTCACAAATGTTTCCAGAACACGGCTGCTGGATTCTGTTTGTCCCTCACAAAGGATTCCATAGCGCCGCTGATGGTTTCTGAGTGTTTGTCCCTCACATAGGATTCCAGAACACTTCTGCGATTGTCTGAATGTTTGTCCCTCCGAAAGGATTCCAGAGCACAGTGGCTGGATTCTTAGTGTTTGCCCCTCACGTAGGATTCCAGAACACTGCTGCTTGGTTCTGAGTGTTTAACCCTCCCATAGGATTCCAGAGCACTGCTGCTGGTTTCTGTTTGTTTGTTCCTCCCAAAGGATTACAGAGCACTGCTGTTGGGTTCTCAGTGTTTGTCCCTCACATACGATTCCAGAACACAGCTGTTTGATTCTGTGTGTTAGTGCCTCACATAGAATTCCAGAACACGGCTGCTGGGTTCTGAGTGTTTGTCCCTCACATAGGATTCCAGAACACTGCCGCTGGGTTCTGAATGTTTGTCCCTCACATAGGGTTCCAGAACACTGATACCAGTTTCTGAGTGTTTGTCCCTCACACAGGATCCCAGGACACTGCTACGAGTGTCTAAATCTTTTTCCATCACAAACGATTCCAGAACACTGCTGCTGGGATCTGAGTGTGTGTACCTCACATAGGATTCCAGTACACTGCTACGAATGTCTGAATGTTTTTCCCTCAAATATGATTCCAGAACACTGCTGCTACATTTGTTTGTTTTTCCTCACGAAGGATTCCAGAGCACAGCTGCTGGTTTCTGCATGTTTTTCCCCCACAGAGGATTCCAGAACACTTCTATGAATGTCTGAATGTGTGTCCCTCAGAGAGGTTTCCAGAACACAGTGGCTAGGTTCTGATTATTTGTCCTTCACATAGGATTCCAGAACGCTGCTGCTGGGTTCTGAGTTTTTGTCCCTCACATAGGATTCCAGAACGCTGCTGCTGGGTTCTGAGTTTTTGTCCCTCACATAGGATTCCAGAACAGTGCTGCTGGGTTCTCAGTGTGTGCCTCTTACATGGAATTCCAGAACAATGCTATGAATTCCTGAGTCCTTGTCGCTCACACAGGATTCCAAAGCACTGCTGCTGGGTTCTGAGTGTTTTTACCGCACATAGGATTCCAGGACACTGCTGCTGGGTTCTGAGTGTTTGTCCCTCACATAGGATTCCAGAACACTGCTACAAGTGTCTGAATGTTTTTGCCTCAGAAAGGATTCCAGAACACTACTGTTGGGATCTCTCTGTTTGTCCCTCACAAAGGATTCCACAGTACTGCTGTTGGTTTCTGAGTGTTTGTCCCTCACATAGGATTCCAGAATAATTCTAAGAGTGTCTAAATGTTTATCTCTCAGATTGGAATCCAGAAAACAATGGTTTGGTTCTCAGGGTTTGTCCCTTACATAGGATTCCAGAACACAGCTACGAAGTTCTGAATGTGTCTCGTACACATAGGATTCCAGAACACTGCTGCTGGATTCGGAGTGTTTGTCCCTCACATACCATTCCAGAACACAGCTGCTGGTTTCTGAGTGTCTATCCCTCACATAGAATTCCAGAACACTGTTCCTGTGTTCTGAGTGTTTGTCCCTCACATAGGATTCCAAAACACTGCTACTGGGTTCTGAGTGTTTGTCCCTCTCATAGGATTCCAGAACACTGCTAATGGGTTCTGAGTGTTTGTCCCTCACATAGGATTCCAAAACACTGTTACTGGTTTCTGAGTGTTTGTCCCTCTCATAGGATTCCAGAACACTGCTAATGGGTTCTGAGTGTTTGTCCCTCACATAGGATCCCAGAACACTGCTACGAGGGTCTAAATCTTTTTCCTTCACAAAGGATTCCAGAACACTGCTGCTGGGAACTGAGTGTGTGTCCCTCACATAGGATTCCAGAACACTGCTTCGAGTGTCTGAATATCCCTCACAAAGTATTGTAGAACACTGCTGCTGGGCTCTTAGTGTTTGTCACTCACTTAGGATTCCAGAACACTGCTGCTGGGTTCTGAGGGTTTGTCCCTCACATGATATTCGTGAACACTGCTGCGAAGTTCTGAATATTTGTTGTTCTCACAGGATTCCAAAACACTACTGCTGGGTTCTGAGTGTTTGTCCCTCACATAGGATTCCAGAACAATTTTATGAGGGACTTAAAGTTTTTTTCTCAGAAAGGATTCCAGAACACTGCTGCTGTTTTCTGTTTGTTTGTCCCTCACTGAGGACTCCAGAGCTCTGCTGCTGGTTTCTGAGTGTTTCTCCCTCACATAGAATTTCAGAACACTCCTACGAGTTTCTAAATGTTTGTCCCTCAGATAGGATTCCAGAACACAGTAGCTGGGTTTTGAGTGTTTGTCCCTCACATAAGATTCCAGAACACTGCTACGAAGTTCTGAATGTTTGTCACTCACATAGGATTCCAGAACACTGCTTCTGTGTTCCGTTTTTTGTCCCTCACACAGGATTCCAGAACACTCCTGCAGGGTTTGGAATGTTTGTCCCTCACATTAGACTCCAGAACACTGCTGCTGTGTTCTGTGTGTCTGTACCTCAGGTACAATTCAAGAACACTGCTGCTGGGTTATGAGTGTTTGTCTCTCAAGTAGGATTCCAGAACACTGCTGCTGGTTTCTGAGAGTTTGTACCTCACATAGGATTCCAGAACACTGCAACTGGGTTCTGAGTGTTTGTCCCTCTCATGGGATCCCAGAAAACTGTTACGAGGGTCTAAATGTTTGTTCATCACAAAGGATTCCAGAACACTGCTGCTGGGTTCTGATTCTTTGTCCCTCACATAGGATTACAGAGCACTGCTTCGAGTGTGTGAGTGTTTGTTCCTCACAAAGGATTCTAGAACACTGCTGCTGGGTTCTGAGTGTTTGTCCCTCACATCTGATTCGTGAACACTTCCACGAAATTCTGAATACTTGTCCCTCACACAGGATTCCAAAACTCTACTGCTGGATTCTGAGTGTTTCTCCCTCATATAGGATTCCAGAACATTCTTTCGAGAGTCTTAATGTTTTCTCTCTGAAAGGATTCCAGAACACTGCGCTGGGTTCTTTATGTTTGTCCCTCACAAAGAACTCCAGAGCACTGCTACTGGTTTCTGAGTGTTTGCCCTCACATAGGATTCCACAAAATTTCTATGAGTGTCTGAATGTTTGTCCCTCAGATAGTATTCCAGAACACAGTGGCTGGGGTTTGAGTGTTTGTCCCTCAAATAGGATTCCAGAACACAGCTGCTAGGTGTTGAGAGGTTTTCCGTCACATAGGATTCCAGAACACTGTTACGAGGGTCTGAATGTTTTTCCCTCACAAAGGATTCCAGAGCACTGTTACTGGTTACTGCCTATTTTTCCTTCACGTAGGATTACAGAACACTTCTGCGAGTGTCTGAATGTTTGTTTCTCAGATAGGATTCGAGAAAACAGTGGCTGGGTTCTGAGTGTTTGTCCCTCACATACTATTCCAGAATACTGCCACTGGGTTCTCAGGGTTTTTCCCTCACATGGGATTCCAGAACACTGCTATGAAATTCTGAATCTTTTTCACTCACACAGGATCCCAAAACACTGCTGCTGGGCTCTGACAGTTTGTCCTTGACATAGGATTCCAGAACACGGCTGCTGGTTTCTGAGTGTTTGTCCCTAACATGGGATTCCAGAACACTGCTGCTGGGTTCAGTGTATTTGTCCCTCAAATGGGATTCCACAACACTGCTACAAGGTCCTGAATGTTTGTCCCTCAGAAACGAATCCAGAACACTACTGCTGGTTTCTGAGTGTTTGTCCCTGGCATAGGATTCCAGAACACTGCTGCTGCGTTCTGTTTGTTTGTCCCTCACAAAGGATTACAGAGCACTTCTGCTGGTTTCTGAGTGGTTGTCCCTCACATAGGATTCCAGAACCCTGCTTCGATTGTCTGAATGTTTATCCCTCACAAAAAATTCTAGAACACTGCTGCTGGGTTCTGAGTGTTTGTCTCTCACATTGGATTCCAGAACACTGCTGCTGGGTTGTGAGTATTTGCCCATCACATAGGATTCCAGAGCACTGTTGCGAGGGTCTGAATGTTTTTCTCTCACAAAGGATTCCAGAACACTGCTGCTGTTTCTGTTTGTCCCTCAAAAAGGATTCTACAACACTTCTACGAGTCTCTGAATGTTTGTCACTCAGATAGGATTCCAGAAAACTGTGCAGACTTCTGAGTGTTTGTCCCTCACATAGGATTCCAGAACACTGCTGCTGGGTTCTGAGTGTTTGTCCTGCACCCAGAATTCGAGATCCCTGCTGTTGGGTTCTGAGTGTTCGTGCTCACATAGGATTCCAGGACACTGCTCCTGGGTTCGGAGTGTTTGTCTCTTGCATACGATCCCATAACACTGCTGCTGGGTTCTGAGTATTTGTCCCTCCCACAGGATTGCAGAACACTGCTGCTGGGTTCTGAGCGTTTGTCCCCCACATGCGTTTCGTGAACACTGCTACGAAGTTCGGATTCTTTGTCGCTCACTCAGGATTCCAAAACACTGCTGCTGGGTTCTGAGTGTTTGTCCCTCACATGGGATTACAGATCACAGCTGCTGGGTTCTGAGTGTTTGTCCCTCACATGGGATTACAGATCACAGCTGCTGTATTCTGAGTGTTTGTTCCTCACATAAGATACCAGAACATTGTTGCTGGGTTGTATGTGTTTGTCCCTCACATTGGATTCCAGAACACTGCTGCTAGGTTGTCCCTCACGTAGGATTCCAGAATACTGCTACAAGGGTATGAAAGTTTGTCTCTCACAAAGGATTCCAGAACACTGCTCCTGGTTTCTGGGTGTTTGTCCCTCACATATAATTCCCAAACACTGCTGTAAGGGTCTGAATATTTGTCCCTTATAGGGATTGCAGAACACTGTTTTTGAGTTCTGAGTGTTTGCCCCTCACAAAGGATTTCAGAACACTGCTACGAGGGTCCAAATGTTTGTCCCTCACAAAGGATTCCGTATCACTGCTATGAGTGTCTGAATTCTTGTCCCTCACATAGGATTCCAGAACACTGCTACTGGGTTCTGAGTGTTTGCCCTTCACATAGGATTCCAGAACACTGCTCCGAGGGTCTGAATGTTTGTCCCTCCCATAGGAATCCAGAACACTGCTGCTGGATTGTGAGTGTATATCCCTCATATAGGATTCCAGAACATTTCTGCTGGGTTCTGAGTGTTTGTCCCTCATATAGGATACCAGAACACTGCTACTGGGTTCTGAGTGTTTCTCCCTCACATAGCATTCCTGAACACGGCTGCTGGGTTCTGAGTGTTTGTCCCTCACAAAAGAATGTAGAACTCTGCTGCTGGGTTCTGAGTCTTTGTCACTCCCAAGGGATTCCAGAACACTGCTGCTGGGTTCTGAGTGTTTGTCCCTCACATAGGATTCCAAACCACTGCTGCTGGGCTCTGAGTTTGTCCCTCACTTAGGATTCCAGAACACTGCTGCTGGGTTCTGAGTGTTTGTCCCTCACATAGGATTACAGAACACTACTAAGAGGGTCTGAATGTTTTTCCCTCACATAGGATTCCAGAACACTGCTGCTCGGTTCTCAGTGTGTGTCCCTCACATAGGATTCCAGCATACTACTGCTGTGTTCTCAGTGTTTGTCCCTCACAGAGGATTCCAGAACACTGCTGCTGATTTCTGAGTGTTTGCCCTTCACATAGGATTCCAGAACACTGTCGCGAGGGTCTGAATGTTTGTCCATCACAAAGGATTCCAGAACACTGCTGCTGGGTTCTGAGTGTTTATCCCTCACAGAGGATTCCAGAACACTGCTGCTGTGTTCTGAGTGTTTGTCTCTCATCTAGGATTCCAGAACACTGCTGCTGGGTTCTGAGTGTTTGTCCCTCACTTAGGATCCCAGGACACTGCTACGAGGGTGTGAAAGTTTTTCCATCGCAAAGGATTCCAGAATACTGCTCCTGGGTTCAGAGTGTTTGTCCCTCACAGAGGATTCCAGAACTCTGCATCCAGGGTCTGAATTTTGTCCGTCGCAAAGGACTCTAGAACACTGCTCCTTTGTACTGAGTGTTTGTCACTCACATAGGATTCCTGAACACCACTGCTGGGTTCTGAGTGTTTGTCACTCACATGGGATTCCAGTACACTGCTGCTGGGTTCAGAGTATTTCACCCTCTCATAGGATTCCATAACACTGCTATGAGGTTCCGAATGTTTGTCCCTCAGAAAGGACTCCAGAACACTCCTGCTGGGTTCTGAGTGTTTGTCCCTCACATAGGATTCCAGAACACTTATATGAATGTCTGAATGTTTTTCCCTCATATAGGATTCCAGAACACAGTGGCGGGGTTCTGAGTGTTTGTCCCTTACGTAGGATTCCAGAACACTGCTGGTGGGTTCTGAGGGTTTGATCCTCATCTAGGATTCCAGAACACAGCTGTTGCATTCTGAGTGTTTATCCCTCAGATAAGTTTCCAGAACCCTGATGCTGGGTTCTGAGTGTTTGTCCCTCACATAGGATTCTAGAACACTGCTGCTGGGTTCTGAGTGTTTGTCCTTCACATAGGATTCCAAAACACTGCCACGGGGTTCTGTTTGTTTGCCCATCACAAGGATTCCAGAACAGGATTGCTGGTTTCTGATTGTTTGTCCTTCACGTAGAATTCCGGAAAACTGCTACGAGTGTCTGAAAGTTTGTCAATCACAAAGGATTCCAGAACACAGTGGCTGGGTTCTTAGTGTTTGTCCCTCACATAGGATTCCAGAAATTAATGCTGGTTTCTGAGTGTTTCTCCAACACATAGGATTCCAGAACCCTGCTGCTGGTTTCTGAGTGTTTGTCCCTCACATGGGATCCCAGAACACTGCTTCTGGGTTCTGATTGTTTCTCCTTCGCATATGATTCCAGAACACTACTAAGAGATTCTGAATGTTTGTCCCTCACAAAGGATTACAAAACACTGCTGCTGGGTACTTAGTGTTTGTCCCTCACACAGTAATCCAGAGGACTGCTACTGTGTTCTGAGTGTTTGTCCCTCACATAGGACACCAGAACTCTTCTATGAGTGTCTGATTATTTATCACTCAGGTGGGATTCCAGAACACAGTGGCTGGGTTCTGAGTGTCTGTCCCTCACATCTGATTCCAGAACACTTCTTCGAGGGTCTGAAGTTTTGTCCCTCATAAATGATTCCAGAACTCTGCTGCAGGGTTCTGAGTGTTTGTCCCTCACATAGGATTCCAGAACACTGCTACAACGGTCTGAATGTTTGTCCATCACAAAGGATTGCCCAACACTACTGCTCGGTTCTGAGTGGTTGTCCCTCACATAGGATTCCAGAACACTGTTTTGAGGGTAAGCATGTTTGTCCCTCAAAGAGGATTCTAGAACACTGCTTCTGTGTTCTGAGTGTTTGTGACTCACATAGGATGCCAGAACACTGCTAAGTGGGTCTGTATGATTTTTCCTCATATTGGATTCCAGAACACTGCTACTAAGTTCTGAATGTTTTTCCCTCACAAAGGATTCCAGAACACTGTTGCTGGGTTCTGTTTGTCCCTCACAAAGGATTCCAGAGCACTGCTGCAGGTTTCTTAGTGTTTGTCTCCCACATAGGATTCCAGAATACTTCTACGAGGGTCTGAATGTTTGTCCCTCATATAGGATTCCAGTACATAGTGTCCAGGTTCTGAGTGTTTGTCGCTCACATAGGATTGCAGACAACTGCTGCTGGATTCTGAGTGTTTGTCCCTCACATAGGACTCCAGAACACTGCTGCTCAGTTCTGACTGTTTGTCACTCACATGGGATTCCAGAACACTGTTGTTGTGTTCTGAGAGTTTGTTCTCCACTTAGGATTCCAGAACACTGCTACGAGGTTCTGAATGTTTGTCCCTGACAAAGGATTCCAGAACACTGCTGCTGAGTTCAGAGTGTTTGTCCCTCACAAGAAATTCCAGAGCACTGCTTCTAAGTTCTGAATGTTTGTTGCTTACATAGGATTTCAGAACACTGCTTCTGGGATCTGAGAGTTTGTCCCTCACTTAGGTGTCCGGAAGACTGCTGCTGTGTTCTGAGTGTTTTCCCTCATGTAGGATTCCAGAACACTGCTACGAGTGTCTGAATGGTTTTCCCTCACAAAGGTTTCCTAAACACTGTTGCTGTGTTCTGTTTGTTTGTCCCTCATAAAGGTTTCCAGAGCACTACCCACTACTACGAGTGTCTGAATGTTTGCCCATCACAAAGGATTGCACAACACTGCTGCTGGGTTCTGAGTGTTTGTACCTCACATAGGATTTCAGAACACTCCTGCTGGATTCTGAGTGTTTCTGCCTCACATACGATTTCAGAATACTGCTGCTGGGTTCCGAGAGTTTGTCACTCAAATAGGATTCCAGAAAACTGCTGCTGATTTCTGAGTGTTTTTCCCTCACTTATGATTCCAGAACACTGCTATGAGTTTCTGAATGCTTGTCTCTCACAAAGGATTCCAGAACAGTACTGATGGCTTCTGAGTGTTTGTCCCTCACTTAGGATTCCAGAACAATTCTACGGGGTTGTGAATGCTTGTCCCTCATAACGGATTCCAGAACACTGCTGCTGAGTTCTAAGTGTTTGTCCCTCACAGAGGATTCCACAGCACTGCTGCTGGTTTCCAAGTGATTGTCCCACGAATAAGATTCCAGAATACTTCTACGAGTGTCTGAATGTTTGTCCCTCAGATATTATTCCAGAACACAGTGGCTGGGTTCTGAGTGTTTTTCCCCCACATAGGATTCCAGAATACAGCTACGAATATCTGAATGTCACTCACATAGGATTTCAGAACACTGCTGCTGGGTTCTGAACGTTTCTCACTCACATAGGGTTCAAGAAAACTGCTATGAAGGTCTTAATGTTTGTCCATCAGTAAGGATTCCAGAATACTGCTTCAGGGATCTGAATGTTTGTTTCATACATAGGATTCCAGAACCCTGTTTCGAGTTTCTGGATATTTGTCCCACACAGAGGATTCTAGAACACTGCTGCTGGTTTCTGAGGGTTTGTCACTCACATAGGATTCCAGAACACTGCTACTGGGTTCTGAGTGTTTCTCCCTCACATAGGATTTCAGAACACTGCTGCTGGGTTCTGAGTGTTTGATCCTCACATGGGATTCCAGAACAATGCTAAGAAGTTCTGAGTCTATGTCGATCATACCGGATTCCAAAACACTGCTGCTGGGTTCTGAGCGTTTGTCCCTCACATTGTATTCCAGAAGATTGCTGCTGGGTTCTGAGTGTTTGTTCCTCACATAGGATTCCAGAACACTGCTACTAGGTTCTGAATGTTTGCCCATCACAAAGGATTCCAGAACACTTCTGTGGGGTTCTGAGTGTTTGTCCCTCACAAAGGATTCCAGAGAACTGCCGCTGGTTTCTGAGTGTTTGTCCCTCACAAAGGATTCCAGAGAACTGCCGCTGGTTTCTGAGTGTCCCTCACAAAGGATTCCAGAGAACTGCTGCTGGTTTCTGAGTGTTTGTCCCTCAGATAGGATTACAGAAAGCTTTTGAGAGTGTCTGAACGTTTGTCAATTAAATAGGATTCCAGAACACAGTGGCTAGGAACTCAGTGTTTGTCCCTCACGTAGGATTCCAGAACAATGCTACGAGCATCTGAATGTTTGTCCATTCCAAAGGATTCCAGAACACTGCTACTGGGATCTGAGTGTTTGTCCCTCACGTGGGACTCCAGAACACTGCTTCGAGGTTCTGAAAGTTTGTCCCTCACAAGGAATTCAAGAAAACAGCTGCTGGGTTCTGAGTCTTTGCCCCTAACATAGGATTCCAGAACACTGCTGCTGGGTTCTGAGTGTTTGTCCCTCACATAAGATTCCAGAACACTGCTGAGAGGTTCTGAATGTTTCTACCTCACAAAGGATTACAGAGCACTGCTGCTGGTTTCTGAGTATTTGTCCCTCACATAGGATTCCAGAACACTTCTAAGAGTGTCTGAAAGTTTGTCCCTCAGACAGGATTCCAGAACCCTGCTTCTTGGTTCTGAGGGATTGTACCTCACTTAGGATTCCGAAACACTGCTGCTGGGATCTGAGTGTTTGTCCCTTACATAGAATTCCAAAAAACTGCTACGAAGTTCTGAATGTTTTTTGCTCACATAGGATTCCAGAAAAATGTTGCTGCTTTCTGAGTGTTTGTCCCTCACGTAGGATTCCAGAACACTGCTGCGAGTGTCTGAATGTTTATCCCTCACTAAGGATTCCAGAACACTTCTACTGGGTTCTGAGTGTTAGTCCCTCATATTAGGTTCCTCGACAATGCTACAAGTGTCTGAATATTTTTCCCTCACATAGGATTCCAAAACACCGCTGTTGGGTTGTGTTTGTTTGTCCTTCACAAAGGATTCCAGAGCACTGCTTCAGGTTTCTTAGTGTTTGTCCCTCACATAGGATTCCAGAACACTTCTACGAAAGTCTGAATGTTTGTCCCTCAGATAGTATTATAGAACACAGTGGCTGGGTACTGAGTGTTTGTCCCTCATAAAGTATTCCAGAACACTGCTGCTGGGTTCTGAGTGTTTGTCCCTCACATAGGATTCCAGAACACTGCTTCGAGCGTCTGAACGTCTGTGCCTCACAAAGGATTCTAGAACACTACTGCTGGTTTCTGAGTGTTTGTCACTCACATAGGATTCCAGAACACTACTGCTGGTTTCTGAGTGTTTCTTCCTCACATGTGATTCCAGAACACTGCTATGAACTTCTGAATCTTTGTTGATCACATAGGATTCCAAAACATTGCTGTTGGGTTCTGAGTGTTTTTCCTTCTCATAAGATTCCAGAACACTTTTACTGGGTTCTGAGTGTTTTTCCCTCACACTATTCCAGAACAATGCTACGAGAGTCTCAAAGATTTTCCCTCACAAAGGATTCCAGAATATTGCTGCTGGGTTCTGAGTGTCTGTCACTCACATAGGATTACAGAACGCTACTGCTGGGTTCTGAGTGTTTTTCCCTCACTTAGGATTCCAGAACACTGCTGCTGGCTTCTGAGTGTTGTCCCTCACATATGATTCCAGAACACTCATGCTGGGTTCTGAGTGTTTATCCCTCATATAGGATTCCAGAAGACTGCTACGGAGTTCTGAGCTTTTGTCCCTCACATAGGATTCCAGAACACTTCTACGAGTATCTGAATGTTTGTCCCTCAGATAGGATTCCAGAACACATTGGCTGGGTTCTCAGTGTTTGTCCCTCACATACGATACCAGAACACTGCTTTCAGGTTCTGAAGGTTTGTCCCTCACAAAGGATTCTATAACACTGCTTCTGGGTTCTGAGTGTTTTTCACTCACATGGGATTACAGAACACTGCTGCTGGGTTCTGAGTGTTTGTCCCTCACATGGGATTCCAAAACACTGCTTCTGGGTTCAGAGGGTTTCTTCCACACATACTATACCAGAACACTGCTATGAGGTTCTGAATGTTTGTCCCTCACAAAGGATTCCAGAACACTGCTGCTGGGTTCTGAGTGTTTGTCCCTCTCATAGGATTCTAGAACACTACTGCTGCGTTCTGATTGCTTGTCACTCACATTAATTACAAAACACTGCTGCTGGGTTCTGTATGTTTGTCCCTCTCAAAGGATTCCTGTGCACTGCTGCTGGTTTCTGAGAGTTTGTCCCTCACATAGGATTCCAGTACACCTCTAAGAGTCTCTGAACTTTGTCGATCACACAGGATGCCAGAACACTGCTGCTGGGTTCTCAGTGTTTGTCCATCACATAGGATTCCAGAACACTACTACTGGGTTCTGTTTGTTTGTCCGTCACAAAGCATTACAGATCACCGCTGCTGGGTCCTGGGTGTTTCTGCCTAACATAGGATTCCAGAACACTGCTTGGAGGGTCTGAATGGTTGTCCCTCAGAAAAGATTCCAGAACACGGCTGCTGGGTTTTGAGTGCTTGTCCCTCACAAAGGTTTCTAGAACATTGCTGCTGGGTTCTGAATGTTTGTCCCTCACAAAGGAATCTAGAACACTGCTGCTGGTTTCTGAGTATTTCTCCCTCACTTACGATTCCAGAACACTGCTGCTGGGTTCTGAGGGTTTTTCCCTCACATAGGATTACAGAACACTGCTGCTGGGTTCTGAGTGTTTGTCCCTCACATATGATTCCAGAACACGGCTGCGAGGGTCTGAATGTTTGTCCATCATAAAGTATTCCAGAACACTGCTGCTGGGTTCTGAGTGTTTGTCCCTCACATAGGATTCCAGAACACTGCAACGACGCTCTGAATGTTTGTCCATTCCAAAGGATTCCAGAACAGTGCTGTTGGGTTCTGAGTTTTTGTCCCTTTCATAGGATTCCAGAACAAAGTTTTGAGGTTCTCATTGTTTGTCCCTCACAAAGATTTCTGGAGTACTACTGCTGGCTTGTGTTTGTCACTCTCATAGGATTCCAGAAATCTACTGCTGGGTTCTGAGTGTTTGTCCCTCACGTTGGATTCCAGAACACTTCTACAAGTTTCTGAATGTATGTCCCTCGGATAGGATTCCAGAACACAGTGGCTGGGTTCTGCGTGCTTGTCCCCCACGTAGGATTCCAGAATACTGCTGTGAATATCTGAATGTTTCTCTCTCACATAAGATTTCAGAACACTGCAGCTGGGTTATGAACCTTTGTCAATCACATAGGATTATAGAAAACTGCTACGAGAGTCTGAATGTTTGTCCATCCCAAAGGATTCCACAACACTGCTGCTGGTATCTGAGTGTTTCTCCCTCACATAGGATTCCACAATCTTGCTTCCATGTTCCGAATATTTGTCCCTCATAGAGGATTCTAGAACACTGCTGCCAGTTCTGAGGGTTTGTCACTCACATAAGATTCCAGAACACTGTTGAAGGGTTCTGAGTGTTTATCCCTCACGTTGGATTCCAGAACACTGCTGCTGGGTTCAGAGTGATTGTCCCTCACATACAATTCCAAAACAATGCTATGAGGTTCTGAAAGTTTGTCCTTCACAAAGGATTCCAGAACACTGCTTCTGGGTTCTGAGAGTTTCTCCCTCACTTAGGATTACAGAACACTACTGCTGGGTTCTGAGTGTTTGTCCGTCACATAAGATTCCAGAACACTGCTGCTGGGTTCTGAGTGTTTGTCCCGCACATGGGATTCCAGCACACAGCTACGAAGTTGTAAATCTTTATTGATCACGCAGGATTCCAAAACACTGCTGCTGGATTCTGAGTGTCCTCACATAGGAATCCAGAGCACTGCTGCTGGGTTCTGAGTGTTTGTCCCTCACATAGGATTCCAGAACACTGCTACGAGGGTCTGAATGTTTGCCCATCACAAAGGATTCCAGAACACTGCGGCTGGGTTCTGAGTGTTTGCCCTAACATAGGATTCCAGAGCACTGCTGTTGGTTTCTGAGTGTTTGTTCCTTACATAGGATTCCAGAACCCTTATACGAGTGTCTCAATGTTTGTCCCTCAGATAGGATTCCAGAACACAGTGGCTGGGTTCTGAGTGTTTGTCCCTCACATAGGATTCCAGAACACTGCTATGAGGGTCTGAATGTTTGTCCATCACATTGGATTCCGGAGCACTGCTGCTGGGTTCTGAGTGTTTGTCTCCCACCTGGGATTCCAGAACACTGCTTCGAAGGTCTCACTGTTTGTCCCTCACAAAAGATTCTAGAGCACTGCTGCTGGCTTCTGAGTGTTTTACTCTCACATAGGATTCCAGAAAACTGCTGCTGGGATCTGCGTGGTTGTCCCTCACATGGGATTCCAGAACACTGCTGCTGGGTTCTGAGTGTTTGTCACTCACATACGATTCCAGAACACTGCTGACGGGTTCTGAGATTTTGTCTCTCATATGGGATTCTAGAACACTGCTGCTGGGTTCTGAGGGTTTGTCACACATAGGATTCCAGAACACTGCTAGGAGGTTCCGTATGTTTGTCCCTCACATAGGATTCCAAAACACTGCTGCTGGGTTCCGTATGTTTGTACCTCACAAAGGATTCCTGAGCACTGCTGCTGGTTTCTGACTGTTTGTCCCTCAGAAAGGATTCCAGAACACAGTGGCTGGGTTCTGAGTGTTTGTTCTCCACATGGGATTCCCAAATACTGCTACGACGTTCTGAATGCTTGTCTCTCACATAGGATTTCAGAACACTGTTGCTGGGTTCTGAAGGTGTGTCCCTCACGTAGGATTCCAGAACACTGCTATGAGGGTCTCAATGTTTTTTCCTCACAAAGTATTCCAGAACACTACATCTGGGTTCCGTTTGTTTGTGCCTCACAAAGGTTTCCAGAGCACAGCTGCTGGTTTCTGTGACTTTGTCCCTCACAAAGGATTCTTGAACACTTCTACTAGTGTCTGAATATTTGTCCCTCAGATAGGAATGCAGAACACATTGGCTGAGATCTGAGTGTTTGTCCCTCACTTAGAATTCCAGAACACTGCTGCTGGGTTCTGAGTGTTGTCCCTCACATAGGATTCCAGAATCCTACTGATGGGTTCTGAGTGTTTGTCACCCACATAGTATTCCGGAAGAATGCTGCTGTGTTCTGAGTGTTTTTATCTGACATAGGATTCCAGAAAAATGGTGCTGTCTTCTGAGTATTTGTCCAACACATAGGATTCCAGAACACTGCTGTTGCATTCTGAGTGTTTGTCCCTCATATAGAATTCCAGAACTCTGCTGCTGGGTTCTGACTGTCTGTCCCTCACATACGATTCCCGAACACTCCTAGGAGGTACTGAATGTTTTTCCCTCACATAGGTTTCCAAAACACAGCTGCTGGATTCTGTATGTTTCTCCCTCACAAAGGATTCCTGAGCACTGCTGCTGTGTTCTGAGTGTTTGTTCCTCACATAGGAATCCGGAACACTTCTGTTGCTTTCTTAGTGTTTCTCCCTCAAATAGGATTCCAGAACACTACTACGACGGTCTGAATATTTGTCCATCACAAAGGAATCCAGAACACTGCTGCTGGGTTCTGAGTGTTTGTCCCTAACATAGGATGCCAGAACACTGCTTCGAGGGTCTCAAGGTTTGTCCCTCACAAAGGATTCTAGACAACTGCTGCTGCCTTCTGAGTGTTTGTCACTCACATAGGATTCCGGAAAACTGCTGCTGGTTTCTGAGTGTTTGTCCCTCACATGGTATTCCAGAAGACTGCTGCTGGGTTCTGAGTGTTTGTCACTCACATAGGATCCAGAACACGGCTGCAGGGATCTGAGTGTTTGCCCCTCACATAGGATTCCAGAACATGGCTGCTGGGTTCTGAATGTTTGTCCCTCCCAAATGATTCCTGGGGACTGCTGCTGGGTTTTAAGTGTTTGTCTCTCACATTGGATTCGTGAACACTGCTACGAAGTTATGAATCTTTGTCACTCACACGGCATTCCAAAACACTGCCTCTGGGTTCTGAGTGTCTGTCCCTCAAAAAGGATTCGATAACACTGTTACGAGGGTCTTTATGTTTTTCTCTCAGAAAGGATTCCAGAACACGGCTCTTGGGTTCTGTTTGTTTGTCCCTCAAAAAGGACTCAGAGCATTGCTGCTGGATTCAGAATGTTTGTCCCTCACATAGGATTCCAGAACACTTCGACGAGTGTCTGAATGTTTGTCCCTC